>NC_000009.12:37434242-37585757 GCF_000001405.40 Homo sapiens
AAGCAACACAGCTGATGACCCCAGTGATCCCTATGGGGGGAGCACGGATTGAGGCTGCCAAATGGAGACATTAACTGGAACTGCCTGTGCCTTGGGGGAAGGGCCAGCGGCCCCTGTGGGGAACAATTCAAGCTGGACTTTTCCTGCTTCCACTATAGTATGGAGAATGTCAAGGGGTCAGACTGTGTAGACCAATTGGGGCCATGCAGGAATGCATGCAGAAATACCCAGATCTTTGTCCCCAAGAAGGTGAGGCAGAGGTAGAGGAAAAGCCCGCAGAACATGTAGAAGTAGCAGCTCCCACTGAGGCCACTGCAACCAAAGAGGAGGAGGGGTCAAGTTAATGAAGGCCATAGGACTCCAGTCCTTCCACCCCTTCAGAGTGACACGGACCTTTTGCAAAATGCCATTTAGTCACCCTCCAACAAAGTGTCTTTCCCTCTGTTGTCCTGTAAACTGTAATGTACGAAATAACATATTTTGATGATCGGGGTCTTGGCCTCTTGACATATACGCTAAAAAAATGGGGGTTGTTTTATATGTGTCCTGTGTAAACCTGTCGGCAAATATAGCCACCACTTTTGAATTCTCCTAGATGGCCCTGAATTTTGCCACTTTGAAATAATGTGCTACTCAATCTCAGCAACCAAAAACCATTATCCAGGAATGTTTCTTGTGAGTGAGCGGATTTATTCTGATTCATTATATGTCTGAAACGTTGGGGTGGGGCTGATTAGGGTGGCTCACGCCTATAATCCCAGCACTTTAGGAGGCCAAGGCGGGAGGATCACCTAAGACCAAGAGTTCGAATCTAGCCTGGGCAACATAGTGAAACCCCATCCCTATAAAAAATAAAAAATTAGCCATGTGTAATGGTATGTACCTCTAGTCCTAGCTGCTCAGGAGGCTGAAGTGGGAGGATCACTTGAGCCTAGGAGGTTGAGGCTGTAGTAAGCTGACTATGCCATGGCACTCCAGCCTGGGCAACAAAGCAAGACCCTGTCTCAAAAACTCTTCTCTACTAGAAGAGGCCAAATAGTCAGATGCAAATTTCTCCAAACCTATCCTGACCTTGAGTATGTAAAGGGGTACTATACTTCATTCCTGACATATTTTGGTTTCCATGTTGGCATTCAGCTCCGGGTTTTCTATTTGGATGGTGAAAATTTGGACCCTGCCATTCACAGTCCCTTCCTAAGTGTAGGGAAAGGCTGGTTTTTGCTGTTCATTGTTATTCTGAAAGCTCTGGTTTGGGGTCCATGTTCATGCTGGCTCTCAGTTTGATCAGATGCAATGTTCTTGAGAGGAGGGGACCTAATTGTTACCAGAGAGGAGAAGAAACTCTGTGAATTAAGTACTGAATTATGGCTGGGCGCAGTGGCTCACACCTGTAATCGCAGCCCTTTGGGAGGCTAAGACAGGAGAATCACTTGAGGCCAGGAGTTCAAGACCAGCCTGGGCAACAAAGACCCTATTACAATAATGATAAAATTTAAAGAAGAAAATGTACTCAATTAAAAGGAAACATGATTTCTACCTGGAAAAAACCCAAAAGCAGTTTTATGGGGTTTATTTGGTAAAGATGATGTCTCGCTATGTGGTCCAGGCTGGCCTCGAACTCTTGGGCTCAAGCGAACCTTGCATCTCGGCATCTGGAGTAGGTGGGACTACAGGAATATGCCACTGCACCCAGCTGACGGTTCTTTGGGGGCAAGTAAGTTCACTTGCTCTGGGGTGGGATCAGAGATAACTGTGCTGTTCAGCATTTCATTTTGGAGTTATTTCTGTAGATCAGAAACCTTGTGGTCATGTGGCATCATTTTCAAGGGCACATGGTACAGGTGGCCAGTGCTAAACTCCTATGCGTTCACCATTTTTTTGTTTGAGACAGAGTCTCCCTCTGTCATCCAGGCTAGAGTGCAATGGTGCAATCTCAGCTTATTGCAACCTCTGCCTCCCAGGCCCAAACAATCCTTCTGCCTCAACCTCCCAAGTAGCGGGGACTATAGGTGTGGGCCACTACGCCTGGCTAAATTTTTGTATTTTTTGTAGAGACGGGGTTTTGCCATGTTGCCCAGGCTGGTCTCAAACTCCTCAGCTCAAGTTATCTGCCTGCCTTGGCCTCTCAAAGTGCTGGGATTACAGGCATGAGCCACTGCGCCCAGCCCTAGAATACAAATCTTTCATCACATTGTGACTGGGTTTTAGTAGCCTGGAGGCCCTTCACTCTGTTAGTCTGAACCTCAGCTCTGGGGGAGTGTCAAGCTTAGTGAAGGTGGGAGAGAAGGCAAAGCATGGAACCATGAGGTAGTCTCTCTTTATTCTTCTTACCGGCAAACCCAAGCCATGAAAACAGCCCAGCTGAAGGCTGCTGAACCACCCTTCTTATCTCCCTCTCTCTCTCTCTCTCCTTTCCAGTGATTCTGCCCCACATTGGCAGTGCCACCCACAGAACCCGCAACACCATGTCCTTGTTGGCAGCTAACAACTTGCTGGCTGGCCTGAGAGGGGAGCCGATGCCTAGTGAACTCAAGCTGTAGCCAAACAGTAGAGATGGAGGGCCGGGAAGCAAACCGTGCCCTGGTATTGTCAGACACACCCAGGCTTGATTTGGATCCACAGGCAGAGCCAAGGGAAGGTGTGATTCTCTGAGGAAAGAGTGATTCTGATATATGTACTTGTCACATTGGTGTTGGACACATTTGCGCCAAAAGTATGGTAATTCTATTATTAAATAATTCTCTGAGAGACCGTCTTGGCCTGTAAATGGGGAAGCTAACAAGTGGATATGGCTGGGCATGGTGACGCACCCCTATAGTCCCAGCAACTCAGGAGGCTGAGCGGGAAGGATCCTTTGAGGCCAGTTCAAGGCTGCAGTGTGCTATAACCACTCTTTTTAAATCGCCACTACACTTAACCTGGGCAATGTAGCAAGATACCGTTTCCTGCAGTGTGCTATGATCACTCTTTAAATCACCACTACACTTAACCTGGGCAATGTAGCAAGACACCGTTTCAAAAAAAACTTTAAAAATACAAAGAGCATGTTTCAAAGTCACAGCATCCAATGATCTGCCTGGCTCTGCTTCCCACCCCAGCCCTCAGCCCTGGGCATTTTCCTTATTGGAACGTGTCCAAACCACCTTACCCCTCATCTTCTCTGCCCAGATTCCTTCACTTGTCCCTCACCAAGGACGGGACAAACAGAACCCAGTTGTGACCATGGCACTTGAATCTTGATACCTAGACCATCAGGAAAATTAAGGAGCACTTCCAGAAAAGGAGTTAACTGGAAGAAATGAGAACTAGGTAAGGACGTAACTCTTATTTTGGTCAGAACGATTAGAGGTAGGTGGGTTTAATTTTAAAATTAGTTTCAGCACCTACACATATTGTTCCCTTTGCCCATTCTGTCCCCCCAGCCCCTCCCTGCCCCCAGGTGGATTTTTTTTTTTTTTAATCACCACCTTACCCACTTCTCTCCAAGGTCAGGCCACAGCACTGCCATTGCCAATGCCTTGCTCTGTGCTCAAGGAATCAGCTTCCAGCTCTTCCCAGCAGCCAAGCCAAACTGGCAGATGGAGTTTCCAACTTGGGAGGCAGGTCCAGGGAGCAGCACAAGATTACGCAGGCCCTCAGAGAGCAACTGGGTAGACTGAAAAGCAAAATCTCATGCATGTGCGTAGCTCAAAGACAGAAAAGGCGGGGGAAGGCAGAAGGGAATGATTTGAGAGGAACGACCAATTAACTGTTAATAGAAGGTTTGGTTTAAAACAAAGTACTAGTCAAAGAAGGGCTGGCAAAGAGATATTACCCTCTTTGGTTTCAACCTTAATAACGTAAAGAAAAAGAACACATATTTAGAGGCATGAATATGACAAATTTTTTATTTCAAAAATCTCAAGTTGTAACCAGCATAGCACCACTGACATGGATGCCTTGATAGAACTCCTTGATAGAACTTTATGATCTGTTCACCAGAAAAGATTCTACATGATCACGCCAGACTATAATTAAGGCTAACCAATCAAAATTCAGGTACCCAAAACCAGTTATAATCCAGGTAGAAACTACAGATCATAGGAACCCTGGGACTGGTTTTCCAGGGAACCCTGGAATTATTTTTTAAGTGCTACAGCATGTACAAGGACACTGGCCCACAAGCTTGCTTCTCACACGTAGAAACTGACAGACTAAGAGGTAGATGAGAGATTCCAGGTTCCATCTAGCAGTGGAGAGGCAGGGCTCCAGCATGTATCAGAGATAAGCCCCAAAAGCAAAGTCCACTTATGCTTCAGCAGAGGTAAGCGGGCAGGCTCCTGGCACCACCTCCTCCAAATGGAAGGGAAGGAGGGCTGCACCGCTCTGCCTGTGTCACTGGCTCCTCTCCCTGGGTCCAGGCAGGGCCTCTCATTTTCTCCAGGCTAACCCACTGTGTCCCAAGGTTAATCTCACAAGACACTGGTCCCTACATCATGTAAAGGGTGGATGGGGAGCCTCCTAACACCATGTCAACATGACTGCTAACAAGGAGCCACACACACAACTGAATTTCACAGGACCTCATATCCTCCAATGGGCTCTTTCCCACATCTACTCGAAAGGAATCGTGGGTTTCCCTTTGGGCTTTTCTTCCTGGGAATCAGTCCATGGGAGATGCCAAGCGCCCCTGGAACATGAAATTATCCACACATGTGTAACTGCACACTCTAGATTAACAGGAGAGAAAACACGCTCATTTTTGTTTCCAGCTACACATACTTAGCTTTCTAAACACAAAAACTGAATAATTTATCTGATTTATGAATGATGGTTTGGTATGTCTAAGAAAGCTATATAAAACATAAAATGAACTCATGTTCATGCATGAATTAAACTGACTTCATGAGTTCTAGGGAGACGCATTAACCTGTGCTGTTCCCCTGGACGCACACTTGGCCTCATACAGGTGCCACTAACAGCCCTGATGGCAGTGTCAGAGGACAGCAAGGTGAGGCTGGGGAAGTGAGGCTGTAGGGCCCAGAGAGGCCCTAGTGCCTCCAACAGTCTCAGATGCTACTTGATTACTTCTATGCTATGGGCTGCTAACTCTTACATAGCCTAGAAAATATTTACCCATGAACACTACCATGTTTGGATTTCAAACAACTTTAAACATTTGGTATCAGATTGGGGGAGCAACAAATAATAAAATTTAGGGTCTGTACTGTTAAAAGTATAGTATATAACAGTAATAAAACCTGTGTGGGGCATTTTTGGTTAATCTGTCGTCGAAAACGGTAATCTAAACCTGGGAGAGTTGCTATATGGGGAGGGGAGAGTGAAGAAATGGAGAACAGGCTTGTCCTCGGGTAGGATGTGTCAGCCTAGACTGGCCCTCAACATCTGGACGGAGCAACAGGTAAATGTGCCATGGAAGACCCCACAAAACATGACTCCACATCAGCAGAACAAAGACAAACACAAGTCTTTTCTGACTTCCTAACATGGAACTGTAACATCTGTAATACAAGTTGGTTAAAATACTGCTCAAACAGCACATAGGGAAACAATACCTTGTCACTCTCTACAAGTACACACTCCATTTACAATTTGGTTTTTAAACCAGAAAAAACTGTTAAAACATCTATCCAACAGTGATGTATTCAAAAGTATATACATCTAATAGTCCAAGAGAATGCTCACTCTGGACCCAGTGTCAGCACCAAAGTGCAGTGTTTATGACTGCAAATCAGGTAAAAATAAAAAATACAGTACTTTGAGGCCTAGGACTAGCTCATGATACACTTTAAAGCATTTGTGGCAGACAGGTGTGTCCTCAAAGGCCTTCCTTTAAGACAGGCACCAAATCACCACTGGTTACACATAAGTGCATTTTGCATCACTATACAGGGATATAATACTCCCATCAGAAGGTATAGGAAATTTAAATGCTACACAGTTTTACAAAAATTGCTAAAAAATTTTTTTTGCACTTCAATTTTTAAATTTTTAAATGTGCCACTTTTAATATCAATTACAAACTACTTTCTGACTGCATTACTCAACCCCAAGGAAGCACCTGGTTTCAGGGATTGCATCCCTTTCCCAAGACGTGCACTTCACTCAGAAATGCAGCAGCACAAATACTACATGTTAGTTCTCCGGTTATTAGTTGCTAAACTGTTTAAGAGCCACTGGGCAGCTGGAAGCCTCGAACCCAAAGGCATTAACTGCTTACCAAAAGAAATTCAGTCTGACAACTGGCCTCAGCGTTGTCTTGTAAGGACAAACAGCTAGAGCAAAGTGCTGGGAAGATTGCTGCTCTGCCAGCGCAGGCAGGTAGTCTTTGAGTGCTTATACAGGTGGCTGGACTGACTAAACCTCTTGCCACACTTCAGGCAGGCGTAAGGCTTTTCACCTGTGTGAACACGGATGTGCTTCTTGCAATCTGTCAAAGTCAGAAAAGTTTTGCAGCAGATTTTGCAGGCATACTTGCGAGCTCCCTCTACAACCAAAACATTGTGCTCTGATAAGGCCTTCTTGCACTTTGACAGAACATCTGCAGATGCCCTGGTCAACTGTGGAGGGCCAGGCTGGGAAGGATGGCCATTTTCAAATGAGGACGTAGCTCCATTCATCATTAGCTGAGAACTGGTAGAGTTTTCTGGGATCTGTGAGCTCCTGACGGAAGTTACAACTGGCATTTTGGGAGCTATGCGGCGGTAGTAAGGAAAGTTACTGGCTCCTCCCCTTGGGGAACCTATCATTACCCTGGAGAAGGAGGAGTGGAGGCCCAAACCAGACCTGGAAAAGTCCATCCCAAACTGTTCTCCTCCTTGGTAGCCTGAAGTCTGCACACACGGCAGGCCCATCACCTCCTGCATAGGCCTGACGAAGTGGGAGTCTGCAGGTTCACTAAATGGGTTCTCTACATGGGAGCCAGGGGCAGAGGAGGGCCCACCTGCAGGCCCAGCCTCTGGACTCAACAAATAGGGGGCCTCACTCTCCAGCCTGCAGTCACTAGTGGTGTTTGGAATATTATCATCATTGTTCTGATTTGCAGTAAAGTTATTTCCTCTGCTCTTGTTAAGAAAATTCGAAATACTAAAAGTGGACTTATGCTCTAGGTTATTTGTGACTTCCAAAATATGGATATCACCTACCCTGTCTGTGCTAGACTGGGGATCTGAAAAACTCCGATCACTGCTTTCAGGGCTGAGGTCTATCTTCTCGGCACTGACCACAACTCCTTCCACTTCCACAGACTCGCTGCCTTCTGCTTGTGAGGTCACATCGCTCACTTCATCCTGAGGCTCAGGTGAGCTCAGGGGCTCAGATTTAACCACCACTCTCATGTGCTCCTTCTCACCAAGGCCAACCTCAGGGTTTTCACACTGAAAACTACTTTTCTCAGGTGCAGCTTCCTGATCAAAACTAGTCTCAACCTGAGTTGCACGAGAGGCCATGGACAACTGTGCCATGTTGCCAGCACTGTTATCAGACTGGCTGGGCACCTGGGCATCTTCTTGAGTGCCAAAAGACTGATCAAACATGATCGCACTATCTTCCTGGTTATCAGTCATTCCATCAGCTTTAGGATTATCCACAATTTTCAGAGAATCTGGTGAAAAGAACTCCTCCCGAGAATGAACCCCTGAAGGCCCATTCTCCGGTGTAACATCTGAAATGGCAGACTCATCTATGGAGGGTCGGAGGCGCTGCCTGGCCCGCTCCTCTGCAGACTGCTTGCGCTTATGAAGGCGTCTCATGGGGAAGGGCGTGCGCTGATCCAGGTTACTGCGCATGGAAGAGCTCATGGGGGCTGGCTGCTCCTCGCCATTCTGGCTGGAATTGAGGGCTGAGCTCACGATGCTTAGTCCCAGCTGCTGTAGCATAAAGGAGCGCTGCATGCGGGCGCTCTGCTCCTGAACGCGCTCACTGGGGGGAGACATGGGCAGCGTCCTTGTCGTTAAGTAATGTTTACATGCCTTAACAACAGAGTTCAAATGCAGGTGAGAGGCTGCCAATAAGACATCCATTACATTGCTCTCCCCCAGCATGAGGGTGGAGGTATACATCATGTCAATCAGTGCAGCAAAGGCCTCTGCTGTCACCACCTCGCTATCCAGCTGGATCATGTTCATGGTCTGATCTCCTTCTGCCACTGAGAACAGGGCTCGGAAATGCGTGCTGCATGCTGCCAGCACGGAGCGGTGGGCTTTAAAGTGTCTATTCCCCACTACAATGACACAATCACAGAGCTGGCCATGAAGTCTCTGGTAGTTCAGCTGCTGGAAGATTTGTTCAAAGTGACCAGGAAAATCCATGATCCTACAGAAAAACAAAGAAAGAAAATGTTAAGACCTAGAAAAGCTTCAAAGTCAGAACACAAAGGGTATGATGAAAAGAGTGGAATGGATGGCCAAGCTTGGACCTTTGAAGCCCGTGATATCTCTGATAATGGGCACATACACTAAGAGCTTGTCATATAAGAAGCAAATGGCAATTCAGCCATCAGCCCAGGAGGCATGCACACATGTGGGCCTAGCTACCGACAGGCTCCCCTTTACTCTTCATATGAGCCATGTATAACACTAAGGGTCTAAATTAGTAAAGACCAGTGTGTGAGTGATGGCATATCTATCCCACAGAAGTTTGTTAGAATTCTGCATTCCCTAAGGATGAGGAATGAATACCAAGAAATTCCAAAGTCTTAGGAACCCTAAATAAGTGAAAAGGGCAAATCAATATTAGTGTGGAAGATTTCCAGTTATAGATGGTAGCAGATTGCACACACGCATTTGCCCCGTGCTTTTTCCTGAAACCCCACTAAAATGACACGAAGCCCGGCATGGAGGCTCATGCCTGTAATCCCAGCACTTTGGGAGGCTGAGACGGGCAGATCACCTGAGGTCAGGAGTTCAAGACGAGCCTGACCAACATGATGAAACCCTGTCTCTACTAAAAATACAAAAAATTAGCCAGGCATGGTGGTGCATGCTTGTAATCCCAGGTACTCGGGAGGCTGAGGAGGCGGAGGTTGCAGTGAGCTGAGATCACACCACTGCACTCCCAGCCTGGGCGACAGAGTGAGACTTCATCTCAAAGGAAAAAAAAAAAAAACACTAAAGTTTTTGTTTAAACTTTAAAGGTGTAAACCCACAAGGAAAAAGAGAATGAGAAGGCCTTCAATAGCATTTTGGAAGCTGGGGAGAGGTAAATGAGTGCTAACTGACTCAGCACACCCCAAAAGCGAAAATCCTAAACTGGGCAGCGGATAAAACAACCTAACATATATAAATCTCATTCCCAAAGGCCAAGGAACTGGTTGCCCTTGCCAGGGGAAATGGAATGAAGGTGTGGCTAAGGCAGGAGGCCTGGCTGAAAATCTATCCAATTAAAAAAAACAAAAACAAAAAAACACCAGGATGTGGTGGCGCATGCCTGTAATCCTATAGCACTTTTGGAGGCTGAGGTGGGAGGATTGCCTGAGCTTAGGAGTTTGAGACAAGCCTGGGCAACAAGGTGAAACCCTGTCTCTACCAAAAATACAAAAAATTAGCCGGGCATGCTGGTATGTGCCTTCAGCTACTCAGGAGGCTGAAGGGGGAGGATCACTTGAGCCTGGGAGGCAGAGGCTGCAGTGAGCAGAGATCGCACTGCTGCACTCCAACCTGGGTGACAGAGTGAAACCTGTCTCAAAAAAAAATTAGCCGAGCATGGTGGCGTGCACCTGTGGTCCCAGCTACTTGGGAGGCTGAGGTGGGAGGATCACTTGAGCCTGGGAAGTCAAGGCTTCTGTGAACTGTCACTGGGCCACTGCACTCCAGCCTAAGCAACAGAGCAAGGCCCTGTCTCAGAAAATAAAATAAAAATAAGTGAATGAATAAGAGAAGGAATTAATCAGGTCCAATATCTTGACTACAGAAAGAGAAAAGGAAGAATACAGAGGGTGAAAATGATGTAAGAAATGGTTTTTTGTTTTGTTTTTGAGACAGAGTTTCGCTCTGTTCCCCCAGGCTGGAGTACAGTGGCGCAATGTCGGCTCACTGCAACCTCCGCCTCCCGGGTTCAAGTGATTCTCCTGCCTCAGCCTCCTGACGAGCTGGGATTATAGGTGCACGCCACCACACCCGGCTAATTTTTGTATTTTTAGTAGAGACAGGGGTTTTACCTTGTTGGTCAGGCTGGTTTTGAACTCCTGACCTCAGGTGATCCGCCCACCCTGGCATCCCAAAGTGCTGGGATTACAGGCATGAGCCACTGCGCCCGGCCAAGAAATGGTATTTTTTAAATTTTGAGAACTGAAGAAATTTGCTTATTAAGACTAAAAAGGCCCAACAAGTACTCAAAATATGAAGATACAAATCCCCACACTAGGCTGACATCAGGAATAAAATTGGCATTCGTCTTTGCCACAGCAGCACTAAAAGCTAGAAGATGACAGTTCCTTCAAAATTATCCAAGAAAATGATTTCCAACTTAGAATGCCACACCCAGCTAAACTATTAATCAATTAGGATAAACTAAGGCATTTTCAGATAAGAACCCAAAGGTTTATCCTTTCTCAGGAGGCGACTAAGATTGTAGGAAACAGGAGACCCACCAGAGAAGACAGGCAAAGGGAATCCCAAGGATGATGATGAAGCTCCAGATGACAACTAGGCAGCAGGCCTGGAGAGCAAAAGCAGTCAGACTGGAGCAGGAAGGACTCCAAGGAGTGGGTCTCCAAGGGGGGTGGGAAAAAAAGGAATGGATAGATAACCTGATGTGACTGGGAGTGCTTGTAATTTACCAGTCCTATCCAAGTGTGCAGATAGGTCATTAAAAAAAACAAGAAGTTTTTAAATGGATCAATGATTAACTCCAGGAAAAAAAAAAAAGGTTGTTTACTCACAGGACACAATATGTAGTTCATTCGTAGACAATATTTACACAGTCATAAAATATGTACACTAAACCGAATGTGAGATATTGGGAGGATGAGAGAAAGCAACTTTGCATGGGGGAAGAGGGTAGAGGAGATGAGGTATAATAAAGTTAAATCTTCACTTTCCTTATTAATCTAGAAATACAGTCTGAAATAGGTTATCTCAAAAAATAGTAATTTGGCATGTTATTTAGAAGTATAGAAGTTAACCAACTTGGTGGTTCACGCCTGTAATCCCAGCGCTTTGGGAGACCGAGGTAGGTGGGTCCCTTGAGCCCCCAGGAGTTCAAGACCAGCCTGGGCAACATGGGGCAAAACCCCATCTCTTACTAAAAATACAAAAACAATTAGCCAGGCATGGTGGTATGTGCCTGCAGTCCCAGCTACTTGGGAGGCTGAGGGGGATCACTTGAGCCCGGAGTCAGAACTTGCAGTGAGCAGAGATCACGTCACTGCACTCTAATCTGGGAGACAGAGTGAGACCCTGTCAAAAAAAAAAAAAGAAAAAAGAAATATGGAAGTCAATAGTGGAAGAAACAGCTGAAATAATTGAAAGTGGTTGCCTCTGAGGAGTGGGTAATTGATGGGGAAAAGGATGGGACAGGGGACTGCTGTTTTGTTGTTGTTTTTGTTTCTTTTTACCTATAAGCCTTATGGAACTATAGGCTGGGTGTGGTAGCTCATGGCTGTAATCCTAACCCTTTGGGAGACTGAGGCGGGCAGATTGTTTGAGCTCAGGAGTTCGAGACCACCTTAGGCAACATGGCAAAACCCCATCTCAACTAAAAATGCAAAAAGTAGCCGGCCATGGTGGCGAGTGCCTGCCATGTAGTCCCAGTGTACTTGGGAGGCTAAGGTGGGAAGACTGCTTCAGCCCAGGGGGCAGAGGTTATAGAGAGCAAAGATCGCTGCACTGCACTGCAACCTGGGCGACAGAGCAAGTCTCTGTCTCAAATAAATAAATACATAAAAATGTATACACATATATTTATAAAATTAAATTTAAAAAAGGTAGATCTATGATATTCTAAAGGGATATACCTGAGATCTTTGCAAATCTCCAAAATTCACAAATACCATCATGGCATTTCATAAGAAGGCAGCATGGGTGCCAAGTGGCTCCCCAGGCCCAACCACTTGCTCTGATGTCCCAGCCATACAGCCTTACAGGCCAAAGTTGGTCAGGATCCTGGGAAATAACTGAAATGGCAAACTAAGTCCACAAAATTCAAGGGTCTACTGTGGCGACTGAGACTATTATGCTATTCAGCTATACTTGGAAAGTTAACTATCGGAAAAGCAAATGCCTCAAAGCAGCAGACACATGTTGGCCATATTGTTTTGCCTATGTTTGTTGAGCTTTGATGAACTTTCAACAACAAAATAGATCACACATACTTTCCCACTGAGGTGTCTGTTCTTTGCTATCATGTATGAGAGATCAGATCTCCAAAGATGCAGCCACTGCCACATCCCTTCTTGCTTTACCAAGCTTTCCGGCAGAAAGCAGAGAGCCAGCAGTGGCAGGCAGCAGCACACACATCCCGGGTCCCCACCCGACTCACTCAGGGCCCACAGAGCTTAAGGCTTTGGGGAGATTAAACAAAATGCAATTACTGCTCATTAAGTCTATAGCCCTGCCTTAGAAAGTACACTCATATATGAATAAGTGCCAAGTTCCAGAGGGGTAATTATTTTGTAGCAGTAACAGGGAAGAAACATTCTGGTTTGAGGAATAAAATAAACAGGGAATTGTGGTGGGAAGTTGTACAAGACTCAGAGTTGCTCTTCTAAGCGACCATGGAAGCTTGGGCTCAACAGGCAAAAACAAGGAACACTAGACACTCAGCGTTACTGCTTTCTCTCCTACAGTGGGGAATAGACCCAGTGTATTAGTCTGTTTTCAACTGCTATAAAGAAATACCCAAGACTGGGTGATTTATAAAGGAAAGAGGTTTAATTGACTCACAGTTCTGCATGGCTAAGGTGGCCTCAGGAAACTTACAATCATGGTGGAAGGCAAAGGGAAAGCAAGGACCTTCTTCACATGGTGGCAGAAGAGTGTGAGTGTGTGAAGGAGAAACTGTCACTTATAAAACCACCAGATGTTGTGAGAACTCACTATCAGGAGAACAGCATGGGGGAAACCACCCCCAGGATCCAATCACCTCCTTCCCTTCATGTGGGGATTCAATTTGAGATGAGATTTGGGTTGGGACAGAGCCAAGCCATATCACCCAGCATTGTAGTAACAGTCTCACTGGTGACAGTAACAGAGGTAATGGTAGTGGTAATAAAATATATATTTTTTACTGTGCTTTTTTTTTGAGACAGGGTTTCACCCTGTTGCCCAGGCTAGAGTACAGTGGCATGATCATAGCTCACTGCAGCTTTGAACTCCTGGCTTCAAGCAATCCTCCTGCCAGCCTGGGATTACAGGTATAATAACAGTAATTACTGAGAGCCTGACAGTCATTATGCTAAGTACTTTTAATTTACATTATTTCTAATCTTCAAAACAACAGTGGCAGGTGGGAATTATTTTCCTGAGTTAATAGGTGAGGGGGGCCATAAAAGACTGACTTCACAAATAAATAGTATTTCAACTAGGCATACTGATTTAAAAGGGCACTAATATTCTGCTCAATGCTTCTTTTTTTTTTTTTTTAGATAAGCAAAAGAACTTATATGAGAAAAATGGCTTACTTAAAAATTACGGGGCTGGGCATGGTGGCTCATATCTGTAATTCCCAGTACTTTGGAAGGCCAAGATGGGAAGATTACCTGAGCCTAGGAGTTGGAGAACAGCCTAGGCAATATGGCAAGCCCTCATCTCTAAAATAAATAAATAAACAATTTTTTTAAATTGTGGTCCCAGAAACACCATTTTGAGGAAATTTTCCAAGAGCCAGGGGATCTTTGAAAAGAGGCTACTGAGGTAGCTAAACACAACCCCAACAAAGATAAAAGGTTTAAGTAATACTGGAAGACAGGCAAACAGTACCTACAATCTTTTAACTTCCCATCAGCCTAGAGATCCTCAGCTCTACACTAGATCCCCCATCACAGGCCTTGAGACCAACTCAAGTTCTCCACATTCCTCTCAAAACACTTTAGGGATGCTTGGAACTTCCTGTTATACCTTGTTGGCAGACCATCTTCAGGCAATACAGAGGCTAATGTCTGCATCATAACTATGATTCCACCTTGGGAAAGTGGGAATCACAATTTGCAGACTATCCAAATGTGAAGGGGGGAAGGGGTGCTCAGAAGATTCTGGGGAGCTGCAAATGACAGATGTCCACCTAGCATCCCTCTGACAAATAGGGCCCCTCTACATATTAATCCATGTGACTTTGGAAATGCATAGTTTTACTGAGTAAGAGGTGATCTTCCTGGAAATGAAAGAAAGAACCAAACAACAGAAGGCCAGATGAGTTGGTGTTACACTGTAACATCTTCAATTAGCAATTTATTAAGTCCTGATTACTCTGCCATGGACAGCTAAGGAAGTAGAGTAGATTTTCTTAAAAAAGGAACTCTAAAGAAATTAAAACAGAAAATTTAAAACTATTTGTCAACTTATTTAAAAATAGTAATAAACGATTACAGCCGGGCACAGTGGCTCACGCCTGTAATCCCAGCACTTTGGAAGGCCGAGGTGGGCAAACACGAGGTCAAGAGAGCGAGACCATCCTGGCCAACATGGTGAAACCCCGACTCTACTAAAAATACAAAAATTAGCTGGGCGTGGTGGCGTGTGCCTGTAGTCCCAGCTACTGGGGAGGCTGAGGCAGGAGAATCGCTTGAACCCAGAAGGCGGAGAGTGCAGTGAGCCAAGATCACGCCACTGTACTCCAGCCTGGTGACAGAGCGAGACTCCGTTTCAAAATAAATAAATAAATAATAAACAATTACATGTTAACATAACATTTTAATAAACAACTGGGCCGGGCACGGTGGCTTACACCTGTAAAACTAGCACCTTGGGAGGCCTAGGTGGGAGGATCAGTTGAGCCCAGGAGTTCAAGACCAGCCTGGGCAACGTAGTGAGATTCTATATAACAAAAAGAAAAAAGTTATTTAAAAAATAAATAAATAGTTTCCAAAAACATAAGAGGGGTATTGTTTTATATTTTGGCATTAAGAGAAGACAACTGGATTCTCATATTTGCTTCTGCATTCAGGCTTGTGGTATCACACATTGCACGGCCTACTCCATGCACTCCACTCTACATTCATGAAAGAATGAGTAAAAAAAGGCCTGGTGCGGTAGCTCATGCCTGTAATCTCAGCACTTTTGGAGGTCCAGGTGGGCAGATCACTTGAGGCCAGGAGTTTGCGACCAGCTTGGCCAACATGGTGAAACCCTGCCTCTACTAAAAATGCAAAAATTAGTCAGGTGTGGTGGCACATGCCTGTAGTCTCAGCTACTCGGGAGGCGAGGCATATGAGAATTGCTTGAACCCAGGAGGTGGAGGTTGCAGTGAGCCAAGACTGTACCACTGCACTCTAGTCTGCGCGATAGTATGAGACTCTCAAAAAAAAAAAAAAAAAAAAAGAATGAGTAAAAATGATACAGGAATTAAAGACAAATTAAGCAGATAGTGAGGGTAAGCCAGCCCTCGGTAAGGTTTTCCTTTTAATAAAAAGCAGCCCCAAGTGATTTTTCTTTCTAACAAAGAGCAGCCTGTAAAATCGAGCTGCAGACATAGATGCCAGCAGTGGTGCCAATCATGTTCAAAATGGTGGCTTCATCTTCCCTTCTCTTTTTCAGCAATGTGTACGGTAAGCAGCAGACAATGGGGCAGGCCAAGGGGAAAGCCCATTTGCATAATAAGATTAGGGTGGAATGGCCAGCCTTCCCCATGTGCTATATAAACGTCACACGTGATCAAACCAATCTGTGGGCCCTACGTAAATCAGACACCACCTCCTCAAGCCTGCCTATAAAATCTGGCAAATTCTGCCACCGGCTGGTCGTTTCCTTTCAGAAGCTCCTCTGTCTCACTAGAGAGAGAGCTGTTTTCCTTTCTCTTTGTTTCTTTCTTTGGCCTATTAAACCTCCATTCCTAAACTCGAGTGTGTCTGTGTCCCAAATTTTCTTGGCCCGAGACAACGAACCCCAGGTATTTACCCCAGACAACGAAGCTGCTTCAAAAAAAAAGCAAGTAAGTCTTTGTATCATTATAAAAAGTTCTGACCTCACAGACCCCTTGAAAAAGTCTGTGGGGCCCATACAGGTCACTGGACTATACTTTGCGAATTGCTGATCTAACAAAAATTTTAATTATATTTGGAAGATAGAAGAATGAGTAATATGCATTGAGCAAAACTGGCAGAATTACAAGGAGAAATTAACAAATTCATAAAGAACAGTATTACCTTTAACCAAGGAGATGTCAATAGATAATGCCTAAACTGAAATTAAGAATTAGCTCCTGCCAGGCACGGTGGCTCACACTTATAATCCCAGCACTTTGGGAGATCACCTGAGGTCAAGAGTTCAAGACCAGCCTGGCCAGCATGGTGAAACCCCGTCTCTACTAAAAATACAAAAATTAGCCAGGCTTGGTGGCACGTACCTGTAATCCCAGCTACTCAGGAGGCTGAGGCAGGAGAATCGCTTGAACCTGGGAGGCGGAGGTTGCAGTGAGCCGAGATCACACCACTGCACCCCAGCCTGGGCAACAGAGCAAAACTCCATCTCAAAAAAAAAAAAATGAATTAGCTCCAAGCATATTATTTAATATATACATGTAATTACCAAAAGAATTAGCTAAGAGTTGAAAATGGTAGTCTTGGAGAAGAGAAAATGGAAAACAGGAACCTGGGCAACATGGTGAGACCCCCGTCTCTACCAAAAATACAAAAAAATAGCCGGGTGTGGTGATGCACACCTATAGTACCAGCTACTCAAGAGACTGAGGTGGGAGGACAGCTTGAGCCTGCAGGGGTGGAGGGTGCAGTGAGCTGAGATCATACCACTGCACTCCAGCTTGGGTGACAGAGTGAGACCCTATCTCCAAAAAAAAATTTAAAAAGAAAAGAAAATGGAAAGCAGGGAAGGTAAGGCCTGGTGTTTGTCTTAAATCTTGTAGAACTACTGATTCGTTAAATGATGTTCACTGGCTAGGCACGGTGGCTCACGACTACAATCCCAGCATTTTGGGAGGCCGAGGTGGGTGGATCACTTGAGGCCAGGAGTTTGAGACCAGCCTGACCAACATGGCAAAACCCTGTCTCTACAAAAATTAGCTGGGTGTGGTGGCGCAGGCCTGTAATCCCAGTTATTTGGGAGGCTGAGGCACAACAATCGCTTGAACCTGGGAGATGGAGATTGCACTGAGCCAAGGTAGTGCCACTGCACTCCAGCCTGGGTGACAGAGTGAGACTATCTCAAAAAAAAAAAAAAAAAAAAAAGACAGACGTGCACTTAGCAAATTTACATATACACTTTTGGTAAGATGATAAATGTATAAAGAAAGCCTGAATAGACTATAACGACACACATACAATTAGAAAAAACTGTCATTATCACCCCCTAAAAAGCTTTTTATCCTTAAAAGAGTTTTTAAGGATAATTTGGTGGGTAGGGGGCCAGTGAGTTAGGAGTGCTGATTGGTTGGCTTAGGGATGAAATCTAGGGAGTCGAAGTTGTCCTCTTATGCTGAGTCAGTTCCTGGGTGGGGAATACAGAACTGGTTGGCAGGTCCAGGTGGGGCCATCCAGTTGTCAGAAATGCAAAAGCCTGAAAAGACATCTCAAAAGGCCGATCTGAGGTTCACAATAGTGATGTTACCTTCAAGAGTAATTGGGGAAGTTGCAACTCTTATGACCTACCTAATGATGGCTGGTAATATTTAGAATCCCAACCCCTCTCATTCTAACTTGGTGGCTGGTGGCCTTTCATTTGTTTTACAAGAACAGTTTAGCTTTAAACTGTAAACAAAATTCCTTCTCAAGGCTAGTTTGGCCTACGCACAGGAATGAACAAGAACAGTTTAGAGGTTAGAAGCAAGATGGGGTCGGTTAGGTCTGATATCTTTCGCTGTCATTAATTTTCTCAGTTGTGATTTTGCAAAGGCAGTTTCAATTGCACTGACTGAATTTTAAGATAAGCTATTTAAAATATCTAGTAACAGAAGCATAACTCACAGTAAAAATGGGGTCATGAGTTAAACCAAATGCAGCATGAGTTAAACCAAATACTAGCATCATTTTTGATATATGTTTTGGCCATCCCCAAAACCCAGAAGTCAATATTCCAAGAATTAGTTGGAAATAGCAGTGTATATCACTACTAATATGAAGCTCAAAAGTGATTCCAAAGACTATGAATACAAAGGAGGCTTAGATTCATACTGTTTTAATTAGGGTTCCCCAGAGGCAAATCATAAGAGAAAGATTCAAGTGCAAGTGATTTATCAAGAAGTTCCCAGGAGAAAATGGGAGTAAGGAGCAGGAGAAGGAAGCAGCAGCCAAGTAAAGGTATAATATGGGGCAAAATCCCAGCCTTAGTGTGTTCTAGCAGGGGTGCTCTGGAGTATAAACAATGCCTCTGAGTTTGAGCCACCTCAAGGCAAAGGTGCTGGTCTTTCATAGCCCTGCAGTCACTCAGTCAATGACTAAAAGCCTCCCTAGGGCAATGTAAACTGCCAGGCACTTCTGGTTCTCTGGGCCCATGCACAAAGTGATGCCAGTCACCCAAAGACAGTCCTCAAGAGTCACAGATGCAAGCTGTTAAGCACACAATAGCTATAGGATGGGTGCACAGAACCGGTAATAGGGATCAAGGGGATCTGGTCAGAGCTACACAGTATCTGCTACACACCTGGTGATACTAAAAAATAAAGTAACATGTAACCATATGGATAAACAGATGCTACTGTCTATTAGTAAGGAATATTCTTGTATATTTACATCATATAGGTTGCACTCTCAATCCCCTACCCCTGTCCCATAACCATTAGGTGAACAAGAAATCTCTATTCCTTCATTGGATTCTAAGATGCCACATGTCTGTCTGTCTGTCTCTCTCTCTCTTTAAATAGTGACAGGGTCTTGCTCTGTCATCCAGGCTGGAGTGCTGGCACAGTTATAGCTCACTACAGCCTTGAACTCCTGAGCTTAAGCAATCCTCCCACCTCAGCCTCCCGTTGGCTGGGATTACAGGCACAGACCACCACACGCAGCTTTTTTTTTTTGTAGAGACAAGGTTCCCTATGATGGCCAGGCTGGTCTTGAACTCCTGTGCTCAAGGGATCCTTCCGCCTCAGCCTTCCAAAGTGTTGGGATTACAGGTGTGAGCACCATGAAGTTTTCAGATCTGTTACACAGCACTAAGTAACTGTAACGGTGTGAAACTTTTTTACCATTTCCCCACAAATCAACATTCAAATACTATCTCCACCTTTTCGGGGAGAGGGGGTCCCTCTATGTCATTGGAGAAAATCACTTCCCACCCATTCTTAGTCCATGAGTCCATGTAGTACAGATCGAACTGCCCCAAACACCTGAGTTTACCAGGAGACGGAGGATCCAGGGAGACCCAGTCAACTTGGTACCCACTCTCCTTGATTACAGTGATTGTTTCAGACAATCACTTGGGTATGTGACCCAAGTTCTGCCAATGGAGTCTGCCTGTGGGCTTTTGCTGGTATATCAAGAAAGAGACTATCTCAACCCAGATTACAAACTGTGAGGGAGTTATAAATCCAGCACTGAGAGTGACCATTTTTGCCTGTTTGAGAACGAAGCCAACACAGAAGAGAGTGATACCAAAAACACTGTCCAGAAGGTATCAAGACTCTGGAATCCAGGTATGACTAAAGTTGGCACCACCCTAGGACTTGTTTCATGAGCCAGTGAACTCCCCTTTTACCTTAACCTGGTTTGTGTTGGATCTCTGCCACACAGTCAAACATGAAGTTCAAATTACATCTCCCAGGAAAACCTATATAATACAGCTATCTCAAAACCTTTAGAACTTTTTTGGATCTAGAGGGAATATTTTAAAAATTCAGTTCATTTGGGGGATATAAAATTTGCTATTATCTGCTCTGATGGAAGGGAATCATGAATCAAGATCATTCTTACTCAGAACTCTCAAGTAATTCTAGCAAAGTCAGAAGGCCAGTCTAAAAGCCTTAACAGAGCTCAGGCTGAGTAAATTAAGAGTTTTACCCAAAGCTGCCTGTCTGAAGCCTTCTAACCAAGGAAAAAGGCTTCAGGTCTCTTTAAAAGGCTCCAAAATGTGACAATATGAGTCAACATAGCTGGAGGAGAGTGTGGCAAGCAATCTACTGATGTATAACTGTGTCTAACCCAAAGCAAGTGTAAAGTTCAGTATTTGTTATCTGCAGGAACAAATATTTAGGAATTTCAAAACTAAATATAATTAAGAAAATACACTCTCATTACTGTCCATTACATTAACATGAATAATCAAAAGATGACTTTTCTCAATAGATTTACTTTTCTAATAATGCTTTACTTAGGCTAATAAAGTTCCTTTCTGTCTTCGGAGAACAAGCCAGCACATTTTAAACTATTTAATTTATACACTGATATACCCACATGCTTCTCAATAATATACTTCATTCATAACAAAAACCGCACCCATACTCAAACATCATCTACTACCATATCAAGTAATTTGCTGCTTGCCTGCCAGGCAGGATCCACACAGTTGTCACCTGCAGAAAGCAAATTAACATTCTAAGGAATCCTTAACATTCAGTAGCCCAATCTAGATAAAACCCTAGCAGATCCTACTTCTGTGTGGGCTCAGCAAAAACAAAAACCCTAGTGATATGGACAGGAGACAGGGAAATGCTGGGTAGAAGAAGGCAGTACCCCAGCTAAGGCCCCACCCTCAAGCCTGGAAACCTGTGGCCCTAAATGGGAACAGGCATCCCTGTTTTTGCACCCAAATGTTGCCTTTTGGCCTGCCACACCATGCTATCCTGTACACATATAAACCCCAAACCCCAGGTTCCACAGGCAGATGAGCAGACAAACAGAATGTGCAGAGGAGCATAAGAGCAGCGTGGCCAAGGAGAGAAGAGAAGGAGCATCTGAATGTCAAGAGCCATTCAGCTGGGGATGGTCAGAGAGATCGGCCACAGGACAGCCGAACTCCAGGGGAAGATCATCTTCCCACTCCATCCCCTTTCCAGCTCCCCATCCATCCCACTGAGAGCCACCTCCATCATCCAATAAAATCCCGAATACACCATCCTTCAAGTCCATGTGTGACCCAATTCTTCCTGGATGCTGGACAAGAACCCAAATACCAAGAAGGTACTGAGCTGGTTAACACTTAACCCATCTGCATATGGCAAGCTAAAAGAGCACTGTAGCATGCCCAATGGGGCTTCGGGAGCTGCAGGCACCCACCCCTAGATGCCACCGTGGGGCCAGAGCCTAAAAGAGCTTGCCCCAGCTCCTGCCCCTGCCTGTCTCTGTGCTCCTCCTCCTGTAAAGGGTTTTAGCAGTGGTGGCAGCCAAACAGACGAGCCACATCATTGTCACACGTCCTGCGAGGGGGGTTCAGAGAACTCTCCCATTTCATCAGCAGAAAAATAACTAGACAGAACATTTCCTCCACTTGTAGAGACGATATAGATGAAAACAAAAGTCAGAGAGCAGAACAAAGCAAGGACCCACTCAAGTAGGCTAGGATTTTTTTTTTTTAAATACAGGTGGGGTCTCAATATGCCCAGGCTGCTTTTGAACTCCAGCGCTCAAGCAATCCTCCTACCACAGGCTCCGGAAGTGCAGGCTAGGATTTTTTTTTTTTTCTTTTTTTGAGGCAGGATCTCACTCTCTCACTCAGGCTGGAGTACAGTGGCCTGATCACGGTTCACTGCAGCCTTGACCTCCCAGGCTCAAGGTGATCCTCCCACCTCAGCCTCCTGGGTAGCTGGGACTACAGGTGCGTGTCACCATGCCTGGCTAATTTTTGTATTTTTTGTAGATAGGGGGTTTTGCCATGTTGCCCAGGCTGGTTTCAAACTCCTGGGCTCAATCAATCCACCTGCCTCAGCCTCCCAAAGTGCTGGGATTACAGCCGTGAGCCACCCACCCACCTGGCCCAGGCTAGGAATTTTGACAGGGCTCCAAGTCAGACAGAGCGGAGTACTGGAACATCCATCCATTGTTCTAATTTGACCAGCAAAGTGGGAGTAGGGGAAGGCTGGAACTAGGTGGGCACAATGATGCCTGGGTTAACCCCAAGAAACCAGACCTGTCAGCATGACTAATGTCATAATATCTCTGGTTCTGCTCTGTCAGGGTTGGCTCAGAAACTGAACAGATTAGTTCTATAAAACAGGAAAATTCCACTAGTGACTAAAGATGAGCATGACTGAGGAAGGCGAGCTGGAAGCCCTGACCATCTCACCTAACTCTCCAATTCTCTCCACATTGCCACCTTGTTTTCCAGGCCAAAATCCCTAGGGATGAATTGACCTAGAGCTCTGTAACTCAGTTTGAATAAGAAAAGGTATTAGTGCCCTACTTAGGTTCCTAGTACAAGCTCAAATGCTTTTTCTACTAAAACAGCTTATTGAGGGCAGGAACTGTATTTTCTCTCTCTCAAAGTGCCTGACATAAAATACTCAGTAAATTATTTGCTGAATAAACTTTTGCTATATATGGATGAAGTATAATGTATTACCCAAAAATCACTTTTCTGAGAATCACAACTATCTCTAAAATCAGCCAAAAACCAGAAGAAAAAGTCTCAGAATATCCAAAATAAAGATCAAAGACTATGGATGAAAGATTTTCTCATAGGAAAGTCCCTTAAGCCCTCACACAGTCTTTTGTTCGAAACAAAATTCAAGTTTTTCTAGTTCCCTAACTAACTGAAGCAGCAACTCCAGAATGAGAGCAAGGAGTGGCTGCTTAAATGAAGTTAAGCTGATAGCTGCAGAAAGAGACAGCTGACCCACTAAGGGGGAAAAGAGGCCCAGCAGCTTGGAGCTAGGTAGTATACAGCTCAAGGGACCTCAACAGCCCATAAAGGTACTTGTGTATTTTTTGTATACAAGTTCATTCATGTAATATGTTTTTTGTTTTGTTTTGTTTTTGAGACAGAGTCTTGCTTTGCCACCCAGGCTGGAGTGTGGTGGTGCAATCACAGCTCACTGTAGCCTCCACTTCCCTAGCTCAAGTGACTCTCCCACCACAGCCTCCCAAATACTGGTACTACAGGCACGTCACCATGCCCAGCTAATTTTTTATTCTTTGTAGAGACGGGTCTCACTATGTTGCTCTGGCTGGTCTCGAACTCCTGGGCTCAGGTATTCCTCCTACCTTGGCCTCCCAAAGTGCTGAGATTACAAGTGTGAGCCACCATGCCAGCATCATCTAATGTTTTAAAGTGCTTACTTGTTCAAGGTTAAGCGCTGTGGAGCATAGATTTGTATGGGACAGTACTAACTGTCACAGGTATTTAGTGGAAATAAGATATACATGAATAACGATATTACAAAGTGGAAGGCACTAAGTGCCACATAAGAGGTGAAAGAACCTCTCAATGGTTTGGAGAAGGCAAAGGTTATTTCTAGCTTCATGGTAGCGTTGACAACAGAGCTAGGTCTTGGTTGGATTTGGACAAACCCCTAGACAGAGGTAAAGGTGGAGAAGGGGTTGAGGTGGGTAAAGCAATGTATTCGATTTGGCTGGAAAATAGTATGGCTAGAAAGGTAGGTATTGGATAGTGACTGCTCATAACTGATGTTAATAATTACAAGTCATCAGAAAGGTTAACCATGAGGCACATACTTTTGAACTAAAGGCTATCATCACTTTTGAGATTACTTTCTTAAAAAGTATTTTAGGGTTTTTTTCTTAAGTTTAAGCAGCACATCAGCCAGAGTCATTGGTTGCAGCAACAAAAATTGATCCTAAACATAAAAGTAATTTACTGAAAGGCTATTAGTTTGATCATGGAATTGATGGGAAGGCTGGATACGTAAGATTGAACTGGGAAGAAATTAAGCTAGGCAGCAGGAACAATCAGGTCAGAATGCCAAACATCTGTGCTGAACACAGCTACTACTAACCAAATGCTCACTCCAATGGAGACCCAGCCTCCCCTTCCCTACATCTGTTATTAAGTCTCAACTCTTGAGTACCTGTTTTCAATATGTGTGATAAAATGGGAAGTACACCTGAAGTTTTCCTCCTGCATTCTGAAATACAAGTTGCCTCAAGAAAAAGCACTTGTGCAGTTTTTGAGGTGGCTCAACTAATTGCTTTTCTCATGGGACACTATTTTTACTTGAAAGAACGAATGACAAACTATGGTTATTTAGAAGTATTTACCATTTTCTTGAAAATGAATGAAAAAATGAATGAAACAAGCCTGTTATTTTAAATAAGATAACTTAGTACTACTTATTGCCAATAAAAAAGTTTGAGAATTCAGGTGAAAATTAGTATTTTGGAAAACTTGTATCTGTCACTGTGAGCTTGACAGCTTCCCACATGCTCAAATTCTTCTGACAGATCATTGGTGATATTAATGAAATGTGATTTTTTTACATTGTATAATAAATGAGTCAACGTTTGGAAGATCTGCATAACTCTGAAATCAGTATTTTCCAAATGACCATGTAGCCATGTAACAATAATGCTATAAAACAAGGTATGGGTAAAAATTCATTCAAGGTACAAAACATAAGCTAATGTATTTTAATGCAACAGAATATGAAAAGTTCATTGACATAATTTCAGATTCCACATTGCACTAATCACTTAAGAAAATACCACTTGTGGAGTTTTGGTACAGTATCAGAGTAAGAATATCCAAAATTATCTGAAAAATCTACTGAAATAATCCTCCCTTTCCAACTACATATTTGTGTGATGCTGGAGTTTTTTGGTATATTTTAATCAAAATAGTGTATCACGGCAAAATGAATGCAGAAGCATTTAATGGAATCCAGCTGTCTTCTATTAAACTACATATTAAAGAGATTTACAAAAAATGTAAAACAGGGCATGGGCATGCCAGCCCCTGCTTCTCAGCCTGTACTCCCAGCACTTTGGGAGGCCAAGGCAGGTGGATCACCTGAGGTCAGGAGTTTGAGACCAGCCTGACCAACATGGAGAAAAGCCGTCTCTACTAAAAATACAAAAAATTGGTGGGGCGTGGTGACACATGCCTGTAATCCCAGCTACTCGGGAGGCTGAGGCAGAAGAATCGCTTGAACCTGGGAGGCAGAGGTTGCAGTGAGCCAAGATCGCACCACTGTACTCCAGTCTGGGCAACAAGAGCAAAACTCTATCTCAAAAAAAAAAAAAAGTTTTCTTTTCTTTCCAATCCCAACTGATGTGTAGCATAAACAACTTTTAAACATGTCTTTTACCCCTGACAGATCAAGAAACTTTTTTTTTTTTTTCAGGCAGAGTCTCACTCTGTTACCCAGGCTGGAGTGCAGTGGCACAATCTCAGCTCACTGCAACCTCCAGTTCAAGCAATCCTCCTGCCTCAGCCTCCCGAATAGCTGGGATTACAGGCGTGCACCACCATGCCCAGCTAATTTTTTTTTTTTTTTTTGAAATGAGTCTTGCTCTGTTGCCCAGGCTGGAGTGCAGTGGTGCGATCTCGGCTCACTGCAAGCTCTGCCTCCCGGGTTCATGCCATTCTCCTGCCTTAGCCTCCCAAGTAGCTGGGACTACGGGCGCCCGCCACCACACCTGGCTAATTTTTTGTATTTTTAGTAGAGACGGGGTTTCACCTTGTTAGTCAGGATGGTCTCGATCTCCTGACCTCATGATCTGTCCGTCTCGGCCTCCCAAAGTGCTGGGATTACAGGCGTGAGCCACTGCGCCAGGCCATTTTTTTTAATTTTTAGTAAAGACTGGGTTTCATCATATTAGCCAGGCTAGTCTCAAGCTACTGACCTTGTGATCTGCCTACCTCAGCCTCCCAAAATGCTGGGCCTGGCCAAGAAACTTCTTTCTTAATGAAAAAAATTAGTCCAGCTAGGCACAGTGGCTCACGCCTGTAATCCCAGCACTTTGGGAGGCCGAGGCGGGTGGATCAACTGAGGTCGGAAGTTCGAAACTAGCCTGACCAACATGGAGAAACCCTGTCTCTGCCAAAAATAAAAAATTAGCCGGGCATGGTGGTGCATGCCTGTAATCCCAGCTACTCGGGGGCTGAGGCAGGAGAATCGCTTGAACCCGGGAGGTGGAGGTTGCAGTGAGCCAAGATCGCGCCATTGCGCTGGATCCAGCCTGGGCAATAAGAGTGAACACTCCCCCCCCAAAAAAATTAGGCCAGATGCGGGGCTCACACCTGTAATCCCAGTACTTTGGGAGGCTGAAGCGGGAGGCTCATTTGAGACCTGCTTGGTTAACATAGCAAAACCTTTTCTCTACAAAAAAATTTTTTTTTAATTAGCTGGGTGCTGGGCATGGTGGCTCACGCCTATAATCTCAACATGTTGGGAGGCCAAGGTGGGAGAAATGCTTGAGTCCAGGAGTCTAAGACCAGCCTGGAAAACATAGGGAGACCCCCACCTCCACAAAAAATACAAAAATTAGCTGGGCGTGGTGGTGCATGCCTGTAGTCCCAGCTACTTGGGAGGCTGGGTGGGGGAGGGTTGCTTGAGCCCAGGAGTTTGGGGCTGCAGTGAGTTATGACCATCCCACTACACTCCAGCCCAGGTGACAGAGCAAGACCCTATCTCAAAAGCAAAACAGAACAAAGTAGAAAGAAAAAAAAAAACTAAACTTTTATCAAGATGAAAACTATGACAAAGCTTTGGAGACACTATTATTATGGTGCCTTTCCAACAGAGAAGATGAACATGGACTTAATCCATTTCTTACACCTAGTTTACTTTCAAAGCAGTATATGCCTTCACTTCTCAATCATTTATCAAATCAATAATGCTCAGCAAGTGACCTTCACTTGACCTGCAGAGTTGCTTTTGATCATCTATTCAAAATAAGTACAATCTAAGTAACTTAAATGTGTTTAGATTTTTGTAGCATTTCTGGGCTCCTCCCACAACCAAATGCCCAAACACTGGATTTTGTTTTCCTGGTCTTCCTTCCTCAAATCCTCTTCGCAAAAAAGACTAAACCATAAGGACTATAAAGGTGAAAGCCTTGTATTTTTAGAGGAAGATGGTTGAGTGGATTTTAAATTATAATTGACTAAGATGTACTGAAAAATTAATTATACCATGTCAACAATATCATGCATAGAAAAAAAGGGGAGCAACTCACCCTAAACATTTTAAACTTAAGAAAATGGCAATCAGCCAGGTGCAGTGGCTCTCATGCCTGTAATCACGCACTTTGGGAGGCCAAGGCAGTCGGATCACCTGAGGTCAGGAGTTCAAGACCAGCCTGGCCAACATGGCGAAACCCTGTCTCTACCAAAAAGTACAAAAATTAGTCGGGCATGGTGGCACGAGCTGTAGTCCCAGCTACTCAGGAGGCTGAGACACAAGAATCATTTGAACCCAGGAGGCGGAGGTTGCAGTGACCCGAGATCAGATTATGCCATTGCACTCAAGCCTGGGTGACAGAGTGAGACCCTGTCTCAAAAAAAAAAGTAAATTAGGAATAAAGGCATTTGTAAACCTGTTACCATACAAAGTAACAGATTACCAAGTATAATTTCCAAAAAGTAGACCTATCACTTAATCATCCTTTAAAATTTGTAAAATGAACATTTTATTTGTTAATTTCCATTTACATAAGGAAAAATATCACGCTCGATAGGCTTCTTTTCAGTAACAAACATTTTCCAGAGCAGGAAAACGAATTAGGAAAATTTATTGGTTACAATTACAAGGAATTAGTTGGGTACAAAAGTCTCTTTATGGGGGATAGGCAGCCAGGATTTTACTATGTTGCCTGGGCTGGTTTGAACTCAAGTGATCCTCCTGCCTCAGACTCCCAAGTAGTTGGGACTACAGGTGTGTGCCACCTGAGCTAAAATTCTATTAATTTTACCAAATTTCATTAAATCTAAGATGTCTGTGATTATAAAATGCATTATTTCATGTAACACTAGGAAAAAAACTGCCAATTAAGCTATGGCATAATGCTTACTTATGGTATCCTGTCTTCAAGGAAGGAAAACTGTCTGCCAATGACTACTATGATAGAGGCAGGAGACAGACAAATGCCTAGGCAGACAGGGGCACATCCCCAGTGAAACCCCACCTCCAAGCCGAAGACAGTTTAAAAGCTTGAAAGCCAAGCTACAAGTCAAATCCACGGACCAGATTGAGAACCTGTGTTCCCATTTGGCATGCTTTCCTCTGACTGATCCCCACCCTTCACCTATTTTACATATATCTACCCCTTTCCTAATTGGTTTTCTACACTGTCGTGCCCACCTTTGAGTGGTGTCTTTGCTTTAACCGTTTTTTTTTTTTTTTTGAGACAGGGTCTCACTCTGTCTCCAAGACTCCAAGTGTGCAGTGGCATGCTCTCAGCTCAATGCAACTTCTGCCTCCCAGGCTCAAGCGATTCTTCCGCCTCGGCCTCCTGAGTAGCTGGGATTACAGGCGCACGTCACCATGCCGGGTTAATTTTTGTATTTTTAGTAGAGACAGGGTTTCACCATGTTGGCCAGATTGGTCTTGAACTCCTGAGCTCAGGCAATCTGCCCGCCTCAGCCTCCCCAATTGCAGTAATTACAGGCGTGAGCCACCACACCCGGCCTTCCCTTTAAACTTTTTGCATCAGAAACCAATCAGCACACACTCCCCATTCTGAGTCCCTAAGAAGCCCCGGAACCAGCCACACTGGGAAAGAGACCACCCCCTGCATGCCCTCTTCTCTGAGAGCTGTTCCATCACTCAATAAAATTCTTCTCTGCCCTCCTCACCCTTCGAATTGTCAGAGTAACCTAATCTGTTTGGGATGTCAAGATAAATCAAAGCTTTTAGGAAATACATGTATAACTAATAAAATGAAAGGCACCTCTAAAACTGGATCTTGAAATTAAAAGCTACTATTCAGTGGTGAAAATGATGAGAACATATGCAAAGAGCAATAGTTCACTCAGAAACAGCTGGTCTTTTAGGAGATGAGAAGTTCACTTCATACTTAGACAAAAGGCATAGTGTAGTGCTACATTCCATCCCACCTGCTACACTAACAAAACTGGCTCTACTAGACAACATCCATATTTGAGAAATATTACGTACAGTAAAAGAAAAATCACACGCTTAAAACTGACAGAGGGGGAAAGTATTTAAAATTAATTTACATTAAAAAAAAAGTTGAAAGCTAACATAGAATCAATACCTTGGGTTCTTTTTTCCATTTCCAAAACGAATGTGAGCCAGATTCAAGATTCTCTGTCAGCACTACACCAGGTTTTGTCAATTTCACTGAACACAAGATATTTTAAAGTCTCCAATTCGATATAATTCATGCTGAGTTCTTTAAGTACTATTTGATATCCCAGTGATTTTTTATTACTTCCACTTTGGGGACAGTCTTGTGAGTCTCTTTTGAGAGCGTTCGCTCCTAAGTCTGTAAGATGCCTTTCCTCCAAATCTTACCATTTTCAGAATTCTGCTAGAGACATATCAATTAACCAAAATCCAGCTTGCCAGCATCCTCAGCTAACTAAAAGTTATGTTTTGACACAACTTTTAGGGAAAAGGGGCAAATCTCTAGTAAACGAGTTGACTTCAGGACTCTTCAAAAAAAGAGTCTGTTTATTCAGCAAAACCCAAGGGCCCAAAACAGGTCCCCACCCAAGTAGTCTTACCTGTAAGGTCACCAAGCTGGCTGTGGTGGCCAGGTCAATCTTCCCAAATTTGATGAGATTTCCATAAGGGTTAAAAGGAAGAGTGAACGGTTTCCTTTGGCTTAGGGGCTTTTCTCTAAAATTCCTTGTCTTCTTCCCATCTGGACTTTTCCCTCTGAACTATTAGCTTACTGCCAACCACCGTCCCCACAGAAATCACAAGAGTTTAGGCAAATGAAAAGCAAGTTCTGCCCAGCCTTTTACATCTAAGCACAACAGCCCATACTAGGACAACAAATTACCAATGACTTAATGACTAAGGCACAGCATTCTCTTCAACCTCTAAAGAAAAGCCCGTAATGTCCTCTACTTAATACAAGTGAAAAATATGAGAACATGTTTTGGAATATTTTTGCTTCAATTTTTGAAGGTGAAGAGTTCCTTCTATTAATTCAAGTTAACTAGAGTCAGAAGATACTACTTAGTAATCAACTTTACTGTGCTTTCACCTAAAATTTTTCCTCCAAATTATTTAGGATTTGCCTTCTGTTCAGAAAATTAGTTTCCACAATATCCTTCACTATGCCAGAATGCTGACTGACTTAAAAAAAAATGACCATTATGAAAGGAAAAAACTAACCTTCAACACCCCTTAATTCACTGCCTTTTATTATTTACATACAAATCTGTCCTCCAAACAGGAGAAGATGGGACGGCAGTGTCTTACCACCGCATCCCCCACAGCTCCTCGCACGAAGCCTGGGAGTAGTGGGCATTCAATAAATGCCTATTAAACACTTCAGTCCTCTCATAACAAGTTGGGGCATTCCGAAACACTGGCTCCACCCCTCCAGGGTCGGCCGCTGGCTCCCGATGGCAGTCTGCCTATGGCCTTGCTCTGGTGAAATGAAACCTCGTCGCTCAAGACCCAGGATGGGGGCAAGGGAGCCGTCCGACCACATCCCGCAGGGCAGCAGATCCTCTCTTCATCCCGCCAGGCCGCTGGTCCTGAGGCCTTTCCCACCCCATTCGGGAACCTACGTCGCCAGCCGGGGATCCACAGGAGTACCAGCCCCCGCCCCACCCCGCAGACAGCCTGGCGTCGGGACACCGGGGACGCCTGCGCAGAAGAACCCGCCTGGCCCCTTGGCTCCAACGGTAACAATGCTCCCCTCCGAAAGACAGCCAGAGTAGTCCGGGGGCACCAGTACACGTCTGCGCGCTCCCCGACGCCTTGGCGCGCCCCTGGTGCTCAACCTTCCCCACGTGAGCGCGCCCGCCATCACGATACTCGCTGACGGGGTCTCCTCACCTGAGTCGGGCTCCGCCCCCCTCCTCCTCGCTGAAGGAGGCGGTGACCCCTCTCCGATCGGACTCGGCAGTGTCAGAGGAGGTGGGAACGTCCTGACCAGCGTCTCCGTTACGGGACTTCCTCCCCCTTCCACCCGCCCCCCTCCCACCCCGCCTCTAGTCCCCTAGCTCCTCCAGCCAGTTCGCCGCAGCACTCTGAGAACACGGCGGCGGCGCCCGAGGATAAGCGGAAGTGACGTAATGCAAGAGCGCCTACTCCGCCCCATTCCGCCTCTCCCAGTTGGGCTGCAACCAATCAGCAATGGGAAGGGCGGGGCCGGGGTAGGAGTGCAGCCAGCCGGCGCGCGGAACCTGGAGGAATTTACTTAGCCCCCGGAAAAACTGACCAATCCACGGTCCCTGAAGTCTGGTTGTGTTTACTACCGACTGAATCCGTGAGCTCTCTGACCAATCACCCTTTGCCTTACAACATGTAAAACGGTTATCAAATGCCTTTTAGGGCGGGATTTATCACTAAACTGCTCCAGGTTTGGACTATAGAAATGCGGCTGTTCGCTGCAACCAATCAAAACCCTCTGTGGTTTAGGCTAGCGGGCTTTCCGCCTAAATCCGCCAATCACAACAACGACTGCGTGATGTCTGAGGGCGCCGGAGAGGCGGGCCCTCAGGGCAGGCCGTACCGCCATTGGCTGGTTCTGAAGGATTTTTCCACCCTCGTGGTGCCCGGCGCTTTAGTGACCCAGGGCTCTTCTCCGGGGTGAATTCCCTTCGCTGAACACACACACACACACACACGTAGAGGGCTGGAGATTGAGTTCCCACTTCATAGACGTTGGGAAAGATAAGATTCCAAAAAGCTCTTTAGGTTTAACTAAGCCAAAGTCCAGGGTGAAAACCGCGAATAAAAAACGCTGTCCATCGGATGGCAGTTAGGTCGGACCCCGCCCCTCGTCCAGTCCGGGTGGCTGCGCGTCTGGAAACGGTGGCGCCCCAGGAGCCCGGCGCTTGGCCCCGCACTCGGCTGCAGGTCAAATAAGCCTGTAGTCTGCATGCCCAGATTTATAATCACCTGCACTCCCCCCACAAAAAAATAGGAAGCGCTAAGCTCTCCCACTCCTGTCCCAAACGTGGAAGGGTCGCGGACTTGTATGGGACGCGGTCTGAAAAAAGCGAGCCCCGGGGCGACGCTCGGGTTTCCAGGTGCACCCTCGGAGGGAGAACCCGATCCCTGAGCATCGGACACTGGGGCCAGGGAAGAAACCCCCTTTCCTAGGGTGAGGACGGCAGAAGAAAGCTGCCTTCTCCGGCGCAGCGTGTCTGGGAGCGCTGCGTGGCTCTGGAGACAAAGGCAGGCCCGCGAACTCAGCTGGGTTCTTCTGGGGGTGGGGGTAAGGGTCTTGGAGGAGCTCCCAGAAAAATGGAACTCCCAGCCGGGCGCGATGGCTCACGCCTATAATCGCAGCAATTGGGAAGGCTGAGGCGGGCAGATCGCCCGAGATCAGGAGTTCGAGACCAGCCTGGCCAACATGGTGAAACCCTGTCTCTACTAAAAGTACAAAAATTAGCCGGGCGTGGTGGTGGGCGCCCGTAATCCCAGGCAACTACTCGGGAGGCTGAGGCAGGAGAATCGCTTGAACCCGGGAGGCGGAGGTTGCAGTGAGCTGAGATCGTGCCGCTGCACTCCAGCCTAGGCAACAGAGTGAGATTTCGTCTGGGGGGAAAAAAAAGGAACTCCCCGCTTTAAGAATGGAACACACCGAATACCCCTACAGCAGATTCCATCCCTTCAGTTACTGGTCGGAAGTGTTGATTTCAAAAAGCAACCTGTTTGCGTGGATTTCTTTAAGGGCTCGGTGGAGTCTGATGTTTAATTCTTTTCCTTAAGATTCGCTGACACTATAGCCATCACACATATTTTACTGACAGATTGATCGGTAAAATAAGGAAAATATGGAATGATGACAGTAAGCCAGGCAATAGGAGAGATTCTTTTGCGTATCTGTCTCTCAACGGTAAATGCCATGACCTAGATTGCCTCAGATTTACAGGCTGGCAAAAGTTTTAAAAATTGTATATTCAGAATTTAGGAGTGTGTGGAAGTGGACACCCGCTATATTGTGGACGGGGGTGTCACTGATGCCCTGTTTGACGATCACTTCGTAGTATCTATCAAAATTTAAAATATGCATTTGTTCCCTTCTAGATGGTAATTCCTTTCTAGAAATATATGCTACCGAAATACAAAGATGTGGAATAATAAACCCAAGGCTGTTTACCACACCTTTGTAAGTACAAGGGGCGGGGGGGGGGGGGTAAGTGGACAACAAACCTAAATGTGTAACTAAAGAAGATTACAAAAATTTGATAAATATGTATCATGGCTCCTTCATGACTAAGGCTCCTATAGATACAAAACGAAAGTAATAAAACCCTGCGGCCAGGCGCGGTGGCTCACGCCTGTAATCCCAACACTTTCGGAGGCCGAGGAGAGTGGATCACGAGGTCAGGAGTTCGAGGCCAGCCTGACCAATATGGCGAAACCCCATCTATATTAAAAAAGTACAAAAATTAGCCGGGCTTGGTGGCTCATGCCTGTAATCCCAGCTTCTCAGGAGGCTGAGGCAGGAGAATCGCTTGAACCCGGGAGGCGGAGGTTGCAGTGAGCCGAGATTGCGCCACTTCACTCCAGCCTGGGTGACAGAGAGAGACTCCGTTTCAAAAAAAAAAAAAAAAAAAAAAAAAGAGCGGGTCTCCTTAATTTTTATTTAACAGACAGGTGTTGTTACTTTAATAGTATTTAGGAAAACCTGGAATTTCAGGTTGCTTAGATTTTCTAATCACTGACAAAATTATTCCTAAAGTAACCTATACATTTCTCGAAAAATGTATCAATAAGATACTTTCTGAAATTAGACAAATAAGTTCTAAGATTCATAAGGGGAGATAATATTGAAAGAATAGGCAAGACAGTCATGGAAAAAATAAGTTGGGTATCTACCTGTGAGGCAGGATAACAAGGTCTGGAGGCGGGGACCCTCAGGCCGACTCCTGCTGACTGGATATCAGAAGCCACTCTCTTTTCACCCACGCCTTTTTCTGCGTGGCAGTTGCTCCGTGGCAGTTGCAAGCCCTCCTTTTTCTGTCTGGCAGTTGAAAAATGAAAATACCGGCCGGGCGTAGTGGCTCACGCCTGTGATCCTAGCACTTTGGGAGGCCGAAGCGGACGGATCCCTCAGATCAGGAGTTCGAGACCAGCCTGGCCAACATGGCGAAACCCCGTCTCTACTAAAAGGACAAAAATTAGCCGGGCGAGGTGGTGGGCGCCTGTAATCCCAGCTACTCAGGAGGCTGAGGCAGGAGAATAGCTTCAACCTGGGAGGCGGAGGTTGCAGTGAGCCGAGATCGCACGCCACTGCACTCCAGCCTGGGCGACAAGAGCGAGACTTGGTCTCAAAAAAAAAAAAGAAAGAAAGGCAAGGCAGGGCAGGGGAAGGCAAGGCAGGGCAGGGCAGGGCAGGGCAAGGCGCAGGGCAAGGCAGGGCAAGGCAGGGCAAGGCAGGGCAGGGCAAGGCAAGGCAAGGCAAGGCAAGGCCTCTGATAGCTCCTCTCCTGAAAAAATCAGACTGATCATGGGCCCACTCTTCATGCTGACTGGTCCCTTCCTGCAACCAATCAAACTGGTTACTGGCCTACTCTTCATTCTGACTGGTCCCCTCCCGCAACCAATCAGACTGATGGTGGGCCAATGGGAAACCTCTGGAGGTATTTAAACTCCAAAAAATTCTGTATCCCACGCTTTTCAGGCTTGTTCAACCCTGCTCCCACCCTGTGGCGCGTACTTTTGTTTAAAATAAATTTCTGCGGCTGGGCGCTGTGGCTCACGCCTGTAATCCCAGCACTTTGGGAGGCCGAGGCGGGCAGATCACGAGGTAAGGAGATCGAGACCATCCTGGCTAACACGGTGAAACCCCGTCTCTACTAAAAATACAAAAAAATTAGCCAGGCATGGTGTCGGGCGCCTGTAGTCCCACCTACTTGGGAAGCTGAGGCAGGAGAATGGCGTGAACCCAGAAAGCGGAGCTTGCAGTGAGCCGAGATCGAGCCACTGCACTCCAGCCTGGGTGACAGTGCGAGACTCTGTCTCAAAACAAAACAAAACAAAAATTAGCCAGGCATGGTGGCACACACCTGTGATCCCAGCTACTCGGGAGGCTGAGGCAGGAGAATCGCTTGAACCCAGGAGGCGGAGGCTGCGGTGAGCCAAGATCGCGCCATGGTGCTACAGGTTGGGCAACAAGAGCAAAACTCCGTCTCGATAAATAGATAAATAAATAAATTTCTGCTTTCACTTCCTTGCTTTGTTTGTGTGTTTTGTCCAATTCTTCAAAATGCCAGAGAACATGGACAACTACCTTCAAGTGGTAATACCTGACTTTTTACAACAAATTTAATATCAATTTAATCAAATATAATATTTTTAAGCCAAACTATAATAGCAAAAGAAGAAAACCTGGAAAGAATTTTTTTTTTTTTTTTTAAGATAGAGTCTTGCTCTGTCGCCCAGGCTAGGGCAGTGGCACGATCTCAGCTCACTGCAACCTCCACCTCCCAGGTTCAAGGAATTTTCCTGCCTCAACCTCCCAAGGAGCTGGAACTACAGGCTCATACCACCGTGTCCGGATAATTTTTGTATTTTTTCGTAGAGATGGGGTTTTGCTATTTTGACCAGGCTAGTCTTGAACTCCTGACCTCAGGTGATCTGCCCACCTTGGCCTCCCAAAGAGCTGGGATTACAGGCGTGAGCCACTGCACTTGGCCAAACAATATATTTTATAATCTTGAAGTAAAGTAGACCTTTTTAAACAAAATACAAAGCCTGAGCGGTAGAGAGTAAGTCTGATAAATGAAGCTAAATAATAATTTACATTTTTCTATTGTGCAAAAAATTCCATAATTGAAAGACAAAGAATAGAGAAAACCATTTGCAACACATAACATAGATTTTAAAAAAAATTTTTAGAGACAAGAGTCTCACTCTGTCATCCAAGCTGGAGTACGGTGGCATGATCAACTCACTACAGCCTGAACCTTCTGGGCTCAAGCAATCCTCCTGCCTCAGCCTCCCTAGTAGTTGGGATTACAGGCATGTGCCATCATGCCTGGCAAGTTTTTATTTTTTGTAGAGATGGGGTCTCACTGTGTTGCCCAGGATGGTCTCAAATTCCTGACCTCAAGCAGTCTTCCTGCCTCAGCCTCCCAAAGTGCTAGGATCACAGGCATGAGCCAATGTGCCCGGCCATAACATAGATTTAAAAGGCTAGGTTCCTTAACATATAAAGAGTTCCTGTATCTCATTAAGACCAATAACCAACTGTAAAAATAAGCAAAGGACACAAATAGAGAATTCATAGAACAAGACATAAAAATGGCTGACGCCTGTAATCCCAGCACTTTAGGAGGCCGAGGCTGGCGGATCATGAGGTCAGGAGTTCGAGACCAGCCTGACACACATGGTGAAACCTCATCTCGACTAAAAATGGAAAAATTAGCCAGGCGTGGTGGCACGTGCCTGTAATCCCAGCTACTCAGGAGGCTGAGGCAGGAGAATCGCTTGAACCCCAGAGGCAGAGGTTGTGGTGAGCCCAGATGGCGCCACTGCACACCAGCCTGGGTGACAGAGCAAGACTCCGTCTTAAAAAAAAAAAAGAAAAAGGAAAAAGAAAATGGCTGATAAACATGAAAAGATTCTCATTCTACCTCATACAAAAGAAATACTAAATATAATACAATGAGATATCATTATTCAACTATCTGGATCAGAAAAAAATCAAACTATTTTATAACATGCCATGTTTGCAAGGGTTTAGGTATAAGCAGCCATTCTTATTCACAGCTAGTGGGAGTAGAAATTGGTACAGATTCTACAGAAGTCAATTTGGCAGTATCTACTAATGGAATCCACTCAGAACTACTGATGTGCTATGGAGATTATTTTAAGCTGAAAACATCTAACAAACAGCAGCCATAAAGAAAAAATCTTATCTAAGCTTCTTTCCTTGATTTATCCAAAGCTTCCTGAAAATACAACCATCACAAATCCCCTTTCCAGGTGGTTTACAACCAGAAAGGAGATAGCTCATTTGCACCTGGATGAGAAATTACATAAACAAAAGGTTATCAGAATTGTCTGTACCTTCCACTTCTTTGCTTTCACTTGTTTCTCACTAGTTTCTCACCATTTGCTTTCCCTTGAAGTCCGAACTCTCTTCCTTGAAGGTCCTGTCTCTCCTTATTAAGATGATACATAAATCCTTAACTCTAACTGTAGGGAGTGTCACTTTTTCTGTACACTTCCACATACATGAATAAACTTGTCTTTTCTTCTGTCAATCTGTCTTTTTTCAGTTAATCTGTAGGGCTCCAATCATTGAATCTTAAGTTGGCAAAAATTCATCTACAAATAATCTCTTACTCAGTGAGATCACACTTTTAGAATTTTATCCCACACATATACACAAGTATAAAATCACATATGCACAGTTATTTATTGCAGCATTATTTGTATTAAAAAACAATCCAAAACAAACAATTCATCAGTGAGGACTAACTAAATAAATTAGAGTACATCCATACAATTGAATCTATGAAGTTGTTAAACAAAATATTGAGGGAGGCTGGGCGCAGTGGCTCATGCCTGTAATTCCAGCACTTTTGGAGGCCAAGGCAGAAGGATCACTGGAGTCCAAGTGTTCAAGACCACCCTGGGCAACATAGGGAGGCCCCATCTCTGCAAAAAATACAGAAATTAGCCAGGTTTGGTGGCGTGCACCTGTAGTCCAAGCTACTTGGGAGCCTGGGTGCAAGGATCACTTGAGCCTGGGACATCAAGGGTGCAGTGAGCCATGATCATGCCACTGCACTCGCAGTGAGCCATGATCATGCCACTGCACTCCAGCCTGGGCGACAAAGTGAGATCCTGTCTCAAAAAGAAAAAAAAAAAATTGAGGAAAGAAAAAAAAAAAAAGAATGAGGAGACTTTCACTTTTGCTATAACAGAGTAACTAACTGCTCCCGTACTTGTCCTCCGTGAGTAAACACCTAGAAAACTAGAAAAAAAAAAGGTGAAATAATGTTTTTAGACATTGGACAGTAGGCAGCACAAAACAGTGATTCCTGAGAGAGGGGGGAACAAAAGCAAGGGAGCCTTACAATTGCTCCAGTTTTCTTCCCGGAGACACTTTCTGGACAACGAAACAGGAAGGAGAGTTCAAACAGAGCATGGTAGTCTCCCACTGATTTGAGGAGAGAGATTGGAATTCCAAGAGAGTGAGTCAGCAGGAATTTGCAGGGTAAATTACTGGAGAAGAGGCACCTAGGCATAAAAAGCCTTCCAGAAATTCTTCCTAGGAATCTTCCACAGTCTGTTAGTGATTACCAAACTGTGTATGAGTAAGATGAAACTCTAAAATAGGCCAGGCAAAGAACAATTCTGAAAAATCACACAGAGATGGGAAACATTCAAATTCTGACTAAAGCTGAATAATAAAAATAAGATTTTGTTTGTTTTTCAATTTCTTTAAAAGAAAGGCTTTTGGCCGGGCACGGTGACTCACGCCTGTAATCCCAGCCCTTTGGGAGGCTGAGGTGGGCGGATCACAAGGTCAGGAGTTCGAGACCAGCCTGGTGAATGTGGCGAAACCCCGTCTCTACTAAAAATACAAAAAAATTAGCCAGGAGTGGTGGCAGGCACCTGTAGTCCCAGCTACTCAGGAAGCTGAGGCAGGAGAATCACTTGAACCTGGGAGGCAGAGGCTGTGTGAGCCGAGATTGTGCCACTGCACCCCAGTCTGGGCAACAGGGCGAGACTCCGTCTCAAAAACAAAAAAAAAAAGAAAGGCTTTTACATTGTATGTGAAATGGTGTAATATTATCTCTATGTACACGGATATTTTAAAGATGCATTTTTTTTCTTTTTTTTTTTTTTGAGATGGAGTTTCACTCTTGTTGCCCAGGCTGGAGTGCAATGGCTCAATCTCGGCTCACTGCACCTCCGCCTCCCAGGTTCAAGCGATTCTCCTGCCTCAGCCTCCCTAGTAGCTGGGATTACAGGTGTGTGCCACCATGCCCAGCTAATTTTGTATTTTTAGTAGAGATGGGGTTTCACCACGTTGGTCAGGCTGGTCTCAAACTCCTGACCTCAGATGATCCACCCACCTCGGCCTCCCAAAGTGCTGGGATTGCAGGCATGAGCCACCATGCCTGGCCAAAGATGCATGTTATAAACCCTAGAGCAGGGGTCAGCAAATATTTTCTATAAAGGGACAGACAGTAAATATTTTGGGCTTTGCAAACTGCAAGTGGTCTCTGTTGCATATTCATCACATATTTTTCTTCCTCCTTTTGTTTTTGTTTTGTTTTGTTTTTGCAACTCTTAAGAAATGTATAAACATTCTTAGCCCAAGGATTATATAAAAATAGGCCAAATTTAGCCATTGGGACATTGTTACAAACTGAATGTTTGTGTCTCCTCCACCTGGATTGATGTGTTGCAGCCCTAACCCCCAGTGTGATGGTATTAGGAGGTGGGACCTTTGGGAGGTAATTAGCTTTAAATGAGATCTTGAGGGTAGAGCACCCAGGATGGGATTGGTGGCTGTAAAAGAAGAGGAAGATGGAGTGGTGCCTCACACCTGTAATCCCAGCACTTTGGGAGGCTGAGGCAGGCAGATCATGAGGTCAGGAGTTTAAGACCAGCCTGACCAACATGGTGAAACTCCATCTCTGCTAAAAACCCAAAAATTAGCCAGGTGTGGTGGTGCACACCTGTAATCCCAGCTACTCAGGAGGCTGAGGCAAGAGAATCGCTTGAACCCAGCATGCGGAGGTTGCAGTGAGCCGAGATAGCACCACTGCACTCCAGCCTGGGCAACAGAGCAAGAATCTGCCTCAAAATAAATAAATAAATAAATAAATAAATAAATAAATAAATAAGAGAAAGAGACACTAGAGCTTCTCTCTCCGTCGTGTGAGGATACAGCAAGAAGGTGGCTGTCTACAAGGCAGAAAGGGGGCCCTCACCAGGAACTGAATCTGCTGGCGCCTTGATCTTGGATATTAGAGCCTCAAGAACTGTGAAAAATAAAGGTCTGTTGTTTAAGTCACTCACTCTGTGGTATTTTGTTATAGCAACCCAAGCCGACTAAGACAGTCATATTTGCCACCCCCTTCTCTAGATCAACCACCGAAAACACTAAAGAGGTATATCTAATAACCAATAGTGGAAATAAAATAAATACTAAAAAAATTCTAATAATCCAAAAGAATGCAGGAAAAAGGAATAAAAAAGGAATGGCACAAATAGAAAACAGTAACTGAATGGTAGATTTAAACCCAACAATGTTGATAATTACACTAAATGTAAATGCTCTAAAAGCTTCAATTAAAAGGCAGTGATTGTTAGACTGAATTAAAAAAAAGACCCAACTATATGCAGTGCATAGAAAACCTGTTTTAAATATAAAGACATAAATAGGTTGAGAGTAAAAAATATGGAAAAAGATATATCATATAAACGACAATCATAAGAAAACCGGAGTGACTATATTAATATTTGGTAAAGTGGATTTTAGGATAAGTTATACTGCAAGATATTAAGAAAGACAATTCTAATGATAAAAGGGTGAATTAATAAAGAAGAGATAATTCCCCTGAATGAACATGTTTCTAGTAACAAAGCTTCAAAACACATCTTAGCCCATTATCTGTTGCTATAACAGATCACCAGCACAGGCTGGGTGTATTAGCCCATTCTCACACTGGTATAAAGAAATACCTGAAACTTGGGTAATTTATAAATAAAAGAAATTTAATTGGCTCACAGTTCCATAGGCTCTACAGGAAGCATGGCTGGGGAGGCCTCAGAAAACTTACAGTCATTGTGGAAGGTGAAGGGAAAGCAGGCATATCTTACATGGTGGGAGCAAGAAGAAGAAAGTGAAGGGGGAGGTGCTATACACTTTCAAACAACCAGATCTCATGAGAGCTCTATCATGAGATAGCACTAGGGGAATAGTGCTAAACCATTAGAAACCACCACCATGATCCAATCACCTCCCACCAGGCCCCACCTCCAACACTGGGGATTACAATTCAACACGAGATTTGGGTAAGGACACAGAGCCAAACCATATCACTGGGTAACTCATAAAGACAGGGAATTAGTTGGCTCATGGTTCTGGAGTCCAGGAAATCAAAGAGCATGGCATTGGAATCTGGTGATTCCAGCCTGAAAAGGCAAGCCAGTGTATGAGACAAAGGGAGAGAGAAATTGGGCTGAACTAGTCTTTTTTAAAATCGGAAAACCACTACTCTGATAACTAACCCACTCCCACGATAATGGCATTAATTAATTCATGAAGGCAGAGCCCTTATGACCTAATTACTTCGTGTGTGTGTGTGTGCACGTGCGCGTATGTGTGTGTGTGACAGAGAGAATCTTACTCTGTTGCCCATCCTGGAGTGCAGTAGCAAGATCTCAGCTCACTGCAGCCTCAGCCTCACCAACTCAAGCATTCCTCCCACCCCAGCTTCCCATGTAGTTGGGAGCACAGGTGAATGCCATCACACCCAGCTAATTTTGTTTGTTTGTTTGTTTGTTTATATTGAGACGGAGTCTTGCTCTTTTGCCCAGGCTGGAGTGAAGTGGCACAATTTCGGTTCACTGCAACCTCGGCCCCCAGGTTCAAGCGATTCTCCCGCCTCAGCCTCCCAAGTAGCTGGGATACAGGCACCTGCCACCATGCCCAGTTATTTTTTTTTTGTATTTTTAGTAGAGACAGGGTTTCACCATGTTGGCCAGGCTGATCTGGAACTCCCAACCTCAGGTGATCCAACCGCCTCAGCCTCCCAAAGTGCCAAGATTACAGGCATGAGCCACTGCACCCAGCCTTGTTTATTTTTTGGTAGAGACAAGGTCTCACTATGTTGCCCAGGCTGGTCTCGAATTCCTGAGCAATTCTTTCACCTCAGCCTCCCAAAGTGCTAGAATTACAGGCGTGAACCACCATGCCCAGCCCCTAGTCACTTACTAAAGGCCCCACCTCTTAATACTATCACAATGGCAATTACATTTCAACATGACTTTTGGAGGGGACATTCAAACCATGGCAATATGTGAAGCCAACAAAACTGACAGAACCAGGCCGGGTGTGGCGGCTCACACCTGTAATCCCAGCACTTTGGGAGGCCAAGGCAGGCAGATCACTTGAGGTCAGGAGTTCAAGACCAGCCTGGCCAACATGGTGAAACCTCATCTCTACTAAAAATACAAAAAAATTAGCCAAGCATGGTGGCAGGTGCCTGTAATCCCAGCTACTCAGGAGGCTGAGGCAGGAGAATCGCTTGAACCCAGGAGACGGAGGTTGCAGTGAGCTGAGATCGCACCACTGCACTCCAGCCTGGGTGACAGAGTGAGACTCTGCCTCCAAAGAAACAAAAACAAAAAAACCTGATAGAACCTAAAAGGGCAATTCTAGAGACTCAGCAGTATCCACCCTATAGTATGCTTTTTCCATTTTCTGTGTTCCTCCTAGGAAGTTAGTTCCTGAAGCCAAGGATCGTAGATTTTAATTCTTATATCTTTTGAAATGTCTTGTACAATGTTAGAAGACAGCATGAGGATTTTAAAACATCTGAAAATTGTTCAGCGATAAATTTGACTGTGTATTAAGAATCCTTTTTAGGGGTGGGAAGGAGGACCAGCCGAACCCTCATGTGGGACAGAGTGCGTGTGTGGTGTGTCCCCAAGGGCAGGAATTTGGCGAAGGGAGGTGAATCAGAGTGGGTGGAGGGAGGGGAAGGGCGGGAGGAGAAAAAGGTGGGAAGAGGACCAGGTGGGAGGGTGGCAGCTCACTCAGGAACCCGCGGGGGCAGCGCAATGAGGCGGGTGACCCTGTTCCTGAACGGCAGCCCCAAGAACGGAAAGGTGGTTGCTGCATATGGAACTTCATGTGATTTGCTGTCTGTGGCCAGCAGTAAACTCGGCATAAAAGCCACCAGTGTGTATAATGGGAAAGGTGGACTGAATGATGATATTGTTTTGATCAGGGATGATGATGTTTTATTTGTGTGTGAGGGAGAGCCATTTATTGATCCTCAGACAGATTCTAAGCCTCCTGAAGGATTGCTAGGATTCCACACAGACTGGCTAACATTACATGTTGGAGGGCAGTACTTTACAACTACCTGGAGCACTTTAGTGAATAAAGAACCTGACATTATGCTGGCCCACATGTTTAAGGACAAAGGTGTCTGGGGAAATAAGCAAGATCATAGAGGAGCTTTCTTAATTGACCAAAGTCCTGAGTACTTTGAACCCATTTTGAACTACTTGCGTCATGGACAGCTCATTGTAAATGATGGCATTGATTTATTGGGTGTGTTAGAAGAAGCAAGATTTTTTGGTATTGACTCATTGATTGAACACCTAAAAGTGGCAATAAAGAATTCTCAACCACCAGAGGATCACTTACCAATATCCCGAAAGGAATTTGTCCGATGTTTGCTAGCAACTCCAACCAAGTCAGAAATGCGATGCCAGGGTTTGAACTTCAGTGGTGCTGAACTTTCTCATTTGGATCTTCGATACATTAACTTCAAAATCACCAATTTAAACTGCTGCAATCTTGCACATGCAAATCTTTGCTGTGCAAATCTTGAATGAGCTGATCTCTCTGGATCAGTGCTTGACTGTGCAAATCTCCAGGGAGTCAAATGCTCTGTTCTAATGCAGAAGGAGCATCTCTGAAACTGTGTAATTTTGAGGATCCTTCTGGTCTTAAAGCCAATTTAGAAGGTGCTAATCTGAAAGGTGTGGATATGGAAGGAAGTCAGATGACAGGAATTAACCTGAGAGTGGCTACCTTAAAAAATGCAAAGTTGAAGAACTGTAGCCTCAGAGGAGCAACTCTGACAGGAACTGATTTAGAGAACTGTGATCTGTCTGGGTGTGATCTTCAAGAAGCCAACCTGAGAGGGTCCAACGTGAGGGGAGCTAGATTTGAAGAGATGCTGACACCACTACACATGTCGCAAAGTGTCAGATGAGAATTTTAGGGGCTGAAGGAAGATGTGCAAGATGAAAATGTTTTCCTTATCGCTTTTCTTTCTCCACCCACTCAGTTGTCTAGAAGAAATAACACTGTCAGCAAATTTTAAAAAATCATTTAGAGGATTATGCTTGTTTTCAGCATGCATAAGGGAAAAAACTGACTTTTTTTTCCATATTCTGATTTTTAACGCAAAAGCACTCATTCAATAGATGTAGGGAAACTAGATATTGCTGCCTTTTGAATGGGGTAGGGGAGTTTACCTGGTTTTATGACCACGAATAGTATCTATTGTATTTGCTTTTAAATAGGCATGATGTGGAAATGCCCTCTTGGTTTGAGATGCATTTGAGGATTTTAATTTATGGAAAGCACAACATATGCAATTATATTTATTGAATACCTAGATGCAGTATGGATATTTAAATTGTTAAAACTTTATGAAAACTTGGAAAAGGTTGCTCAGGTTTATAAATAGCTTCAGTGATGCCTCCCCTCTTTAAATACCTGTCACACCATATGAATATGGTGAGATCAGACTCCCTAAAACTCTTTTCAGGTTCATTTTTATGTTTACTTTTTAGAACAAAATGTAGCTAAATTAAAGTAATATCCAGTTCTTACTGATTGAGACAGAGTGGAAAGAAAGACATCGTTGTACATCACCGTCATTCCAAAGGTACAGCGGAACTCCAGATGGAGGAAGAACTTACCTATCACTACAACACTTGTAAATGAGCATTTCTCAGAATTTCATTCTAGGGAAGTTCCACTCAACACCAGACCAAGAAATTCTATCTATTTATACTATCAGCCTAGTTTTCTTTCTTTTTTTTTTGAGACGGAGTCTCGCTCTGTCACTCAGGCTGGAGTGCAGTGGCGCAATCTCAGCTCACTGCAAGCTCCGCCTCCTGGGTTCACGCCATTCTCCTGCCTCAGCCTCCCAAGTAGCTGGGACTACAGGCGCCTACCACCACGCCCGGCTAATTTTTTTTGTATTTTTAGTAGAGACGGGGTTTCACCATGGTAGCCAGGATGGTCTTGATCTCCTGACCTCGTGATCTGCCCACCTCAGCCTCCCAAAGTGCTGGGATTACAGGCCTGAGCCACTGCACCTGGCCTTACCCTAGTTTTCTAATACAATCATCACAAGCATAGGAAGATACTTCAAAACCAAAACTCCAAGGTGCATCATTAGTATTCGTTTAATTCAAATACCAAATAGTTTACATAGGGCCAGCTTAGAAATAGACATTAAATCCAGATCTACTGCAATCAAAGCTTATACTATATGAATGAAGATGGTAGAGTTGCCTGTTAAAAGGCAATGTAATATAATTGCAGCTAGAATCCTACAGTGGAGAATGAGGAATTTTAAACAGACATTTGATTACAGCCACCAAAAAATATATATAAAGTAAAAATAAAGGCATTTGGCTGGCCCAAGATGTAATACCAATCAGTCAGTACCTGTGATTCTTTCACTTATATTTTTTATTTTTTTAAAAACAAATTTTAGCCCAATTTTCTTGAGTCATTATCTCTCCGCAGCAGCAGAGGAAGGGCCTGTATTCCCTACCAATGGCCTGGTGTCCTTATGTCTACCCCAAGAGCAGGGATATTAGCTGTGTCCAAATGGGTTCTAAATTCTACAGACTCATCAACATGAGGCAAGAAGTCATTGAAAACCACTTTTGTCTCCTTTGGGAGAATGACATATCTTTAGTATTTATGTAGCTTATTCTTCTATATCTACATATGCAAAGCTTTCCTTAACAGTAAAGGGTACATATGCATAGTGGGAGAAGATCAGACCTTTACGAGTGAAGGAAAGCAACTTCAGAAATGAATTATTTTCTTTGCTTTATTATTTTTACCAAGACAGTGAAGTATTGTATGGGGAGATAATCTATTTTCATAATCAATATGTGCCTAAATTATATTTAAATTATTTCACTCTGTACTATATTTTTAGGAATTATAGAATGTGTTATTCATTCACTTAAAGGTACTTCTGTAGAAATAACCTAAAACTGCAGAAGGATCTGAAAGATCTAAACATGTTGTGCTTAGAAACTGCAGATTTTAGATCTAATGTATAAATGATATAAAGTGTTTTAAAAAAAGAATATTTTTAAAAGAACAAGATCATGTCCTTTTCAGGGACATGGATGAAGCTGGAGGCCATTATCCTTAGCAAACTAACACAGGAACAGAAAATGAAATATTGTTCTCACTTATAAGTGGGAGCTAAATGATGAGAACACATGGACACACAGAGGGGAACAACACACACTGGGGCCTATCGAAGGGTGGAGGGTGGGAGGAGAGAGAGGGTCAGGAAAAATAACTAATGGATATTAGGCTTAATATGTGGGTGATGAAATAATCTGTACAACAAACCCCCATGAGATGAGTTTACCTATGTAACAAACCTACACATGTACCCCTGAACTTAAAACAAAAAATAATCTTTTAAAAATGTTCATGTTCAATTCAAATCCTAGAGTTTCATCCAAAATAGCAGGCACAGTGTTTGTTTGTTTGTTTGTTTTCCCTTGGGACAGGGTCTCGCTCTGTTGCCCAGACTGGAGTGCAGTGGTGCAGTCATAGCTCACTGCATCCTTGAACTCCTGGGCTCAAGCAATTGTCTTGCCTAAGCCCCCCAGTAGGTGGGACCACAGGCACATGTACCACACCCAGCTAATATTTTTATTTTTTGTGGAGGCAGAGTCTATGTTGCCCAGGCTGATCCTGAGCTCCCAGCCTGAAGCAATCCGCTCACCTTGGCCTCCCAAAGCGCTGGGTGAAATTTTTTTAAAGGGAGGTACAAAATTGAATACAGTATTATATCAATTATATAAATGTGCATATGCACAGAGAAAAAAACTAGAAAGAAATACAACCAAATTGAATAATTTTTGCCTTTTTGTGGGGAAGATATCATAGATTACTGTAATTTTATTATTAATATGTTTCTGTATTTTCAACATCAAATATGTATTTATTTGATAAGTTTTTTATCTAATACATATTCAGAAAAATTTAAATATATAAACAGGCTGAATCTAACTTGAGTAAATTTAACAGCCCTTAATACAAAGCTCTGAATTTTTGTTTTTCAAAAAAGTTACAAGGATGATATAACTTAGCAGAAGCAAAGCTAAGAACTTTTGTTTATTCTTAACCCCAGTAAGTTAACTGAGCAGTATAGATGTTTACAACAAATGCACAGGGGATGTGATGAATTCTCCTTGTTCTGTGCTACCCAGCCCAGTGCTGAAGTACTGATCTGTATGGGACCCTGAAGGATCCAGATATACTGGCATATGTCTAGCAGAGGTGACCAGGAAGAGGAGGGACCTAGAAACTTTGGTATGTGAGGGATAATTTTGGCTGGGAGAGGAGAGGAACAGATACATGGAAAGCATGATAGACGTCTCCAGGCTTTTGAAGGGCACAGGCAAGAAGAGCTGATTGTGTTCTGCATGACCCCGGAATGAAGAACTGGAGCTATAGGGAGAAGCTACAGAAGGTAGAGTCAGCTCCATGTAAGGAAAAAACCTGTTCAAGGTGAGAAGTCCACCTTTTAAGGAGTGAGTCATCCATGTGTGTAGGTATGCAAAGAGGGTCTGCATCAGGGATATGAAGGAAAGGAATGGGAATGACCAGAGGAGAGAACAAGAGAGTGAGACAAACACAGAGGGAGAAAGGAAGGGAGGAAAAAGAGAAGCAGAGGGACAAGAAAGGAAGAGAAGAGGTGAGACAGAAGAAGCTATTCTCGGCCGGGCGCGGTGGCTCACGCCTGTAATACCAACACTTTGGGAGGCTGAGGCAGGGGATCACGAGGTCAGGAGTTCAAGAGCAGCCCGACCAACATGGTGAAGCCCCATCTCTACTAAAAATACAAAAATTAGCCGGGCATGGTGATGCACGCCTGTAATCCCAGCTACTCAGGAGGCTGAGGCAGGAGAATTGCTTGAATCCGGGAGGCAGAGGTTGCAGTTAGCCGAGATCGCGCCACTACACTCCAGCCTGGGTGACAGAGCGAGACTCTGTCTCCAAAAAAAAAAAAAAAAAAAAAAAAAGAAGCCATTCCCCAGAGTACAGGGCGAGTCACTGCAAACAGTATGGAATCTGACTCGCCTTTTCAGGTCTTTGTTAGTGTTATCCTGAAACACCAGCAGATGGAGATATTACCCCAGGAAAGGAGGACTTTGCTTTTCTCCCTCTCCTTTTGCCCTCTGGAAAACCATTTTCCTTCTCTGAAAAATGATACTAAAAGAGAACTCCAGGTGTCTCTGAATTATTTCCAAACTAAATTTCCAAAAAAAATTATGTGGTAAATTTTGCCTGTGATTATCCACGATTTGAATATAAAAGAGGCCACCTGGCCAGGTGTGGTGGCTCACGCCTGTAATCCCAACACCTAGGGAGGCTGAGGCAGGTGGATCACTTGAGGTCAGGGGTTCGAGACCAGCCTGGCCAACATGGTGAAACCCTGTCTCTAACAAAACTACAAAAATTAGCCGGGCGTGGTGGTGGGCACCTGTAATCCTGGCTACTCAGGAGGCTGAGGCAGGAGAACTGCTTGGACCCAGGAGGCGGAGGTTGCAGTGAGCCCAGATCACACCACTGCACTCCAGCCTGGGCGACAAGAGTGAGACTCCGCCTCAAAAAAATAAATAAATAATTAAATAAAATAAAAAAATAAAAGAGGCCACTATAGGTTTTTGCATTTTGGTTAATGCCTATGTAGGGCTCCCTCCATCCTGCCCCATCCCACCTCCATCCTGCCCCATCCCAGTTACACAGGCACGTATGTATATGTACATGGTGTGTATAGGTGTGTCTTTTGAATAACTGTTAAATAATTAAACAACACAGGGGTATACTATGATCCCCTTCCCAGCTGCCTGACCATCAACACTTTGCTTCCACGGATAGAATCTCCGTCATTTGGAATTCTTGCCTGTGGTAATTCTAGGAGTTTTTGCTTCAGTGGGTGTGTTGTACTCTTCACTCTTTGTCCTCGCTACAAAACAGTCAATCCAGGGGACTTGCACATAATCTGTCTGACTGGCAAATATGTGCCTTAAAGGGGAATCAGTCCGGTATAACAGTGATTCCTAAACTTCAAGTGCACATGAATCACCTGCAGATCCTGTTGCAGAAGATTTGATAGGGTTGGAGATCCTATATTTCTAACAAGTTCCCAGGTGCTGTCGAGGCTGCTGTTTCCATGGACCACACTTTGAGTAACAAGGCCATACAATGTGTTCCTATATCATGAGTAACAAGGCCATATAATGTGTTCCTATATCACAAGATACTTCTCTTAAGAACTATACTTGGCTCATTGTAGCCACTGTTATCTTGGTCACCTTTAACTTTGATTTAACTGTTCATATTTTCATTCAACCAAAAAACATTTATAGAGTCTGTTATGTGTAAACCCTATGCTAGTTGATTTCAACCAATATTACCAAACATCTTTGAGTTCCAGTCCCTGTGCTAGGCTTCCAAGATTAGTGATAATTCAGGCCCATTCTTTGCCCTGTCATTCATTAATTCATTCCATATTTATTGAGGGTCTAGTATGTTCAGGATTTGGAGATAAAGCAGTGATCAAAACAAACATAAATTTGTTTATTAACCTCCAAAGTGTTTATTGTGAACCCCAAGTAAGTTTAGTGAGGAAACAATCAATGGGTGAGACAATCACACAATTAAGCTCTTCTTTCTTCATCCTTCTTTCTTCTTTCTTCTTCTTCCCTTTTCCTTTCCTGAACAATTCAATCCAAAATCATGAGGTGGGGTCAAGCAAGGTAGCCTTCTAAGGGAGGAAAGGCTATGAGAGCTAAATGCAACACATGATTCTTGACAGGACATTTTTGCTATAAAAACATGATTGGGCCAGCTGCAATGGCTCACGCCTGTAATCCCAGAACTTTGGGAGGCCAAGGTGGGAGGATCACTTGAGCCCAGGAGTCTGAGACCAGCCCTGGCAACACAGTGAGACCTAGTCTCTACAAAAAATTTTTTTAATTAAGAAAAAACAAAACAAAACTGAGTGTGGTGGCACACACTTGTATTCCCAGGTTGTGGTGAGAGGATCACTTGAGCCTGGAAGGTCAAGGCTGCAGTGAGCCCTGGTTGCAACACTGCACTCCAGCCTGGGTGACAGAGTGAGACCCTGTCTCAAAAAACAAACTAACAACAAACGTTGGGACAATGGGTGAACTTAAATGGGATGTGAGGATTACATGGTGGTAATGTACCAGTGCTAATTTCCTGATTCTTTTCTGTTTAATTTTTTTTTTTTTTTTTGTCGCCCAGGCTAGAGTGCAGTGGCACCATCACAGCTCACTGCAGCCTCTGCCTCCTAGGCTCAAGCAATCCTCCCACCTCAGCCTCCCGAGTAGCTGGGACGACACGCGTGCGCCACCACACATGGCTAATATTATTTTTTGTAGAGACAGGGTCTTGTTATGTTGCCCAGCCTGGTCTCAAACTCCTGGAATCAAGGGATAGAACTGCCTCTCCCTCCCAAAGTGCTGGGATTGCAGGCGTGAACCACTGCGCCCGGCAATTTGCTGATTCTGATGGCTGTGTTGTTATTTAGGGAATGTCTGTAGGAAATACTATAGTCTTCAGGGTTGAAAGGGTATCAGGTTGACAACTTACTCTAAATGGTTCAGGGCAAAAACATTTCTTGCAGTGTTTCTTTACGTTTGAGATTGGGTAATTAGAAAAGCGTGACAAGTGCTCAGGCAAAGGGGCATGCAGGCTTTAGGGTTATTCCTAGGATCCTGGGTGTTGGAGGCGGGTGTTGAGGGTGTGTGGAAGGAAAAGAGTCTTGAAAGAAGGTGATTTGGAAGACAGAGGGGAGTCAACCGGAGTTCTTGCCCTTCAATAGTACGCATCTTTGGGCAAAGGGGGCCTCGGCCAGCGTCCATGCTTAAAGGCCCTGCTTTCGCCTTCTTTCTGCTCTGAAAACTCCCCGTGCAGAAGAAGGGTTGAATCCGCAGTGAAAAAGGGACATGTCCATCAGCTCGGACTCCCTCTTCTATTCCAGTCCAGAATCTCCTGCCCAAAGGCTCCGGGGTTGGCTGGGCTTCTGTTCCATCACCTCAGTGTTGATTGGGCCACAGGTGTGCACGCCACAGCCCATGGCGGGGAGCTGTTTGTCGGACTGTGGACAAAGTTTGTACCTAGAGCTGGATGTCCACGTGGGTGGGTGGGAAGCCCTAGAGAGGGGCGGCTATTCGCCAGCGGCCACATTTAGTTGGGGCTCAAGCAGTTCCTGTCAGAGAATTCTAAATTTGAACTTGGTCCTTCAGGTCTTGGGAAGATGAGTTTGTCACGGTAGGAGAGAGAGACGACACTCTCTTTAGAAGGTGCTGAGCCGGAAGAAGGCTCATAGCAAGCTTAGGCTGAAGCCTTTGGCGCCTCGGGCTCTGGACCTACAAAACCCAGAGTGCACGCGAGCGCTGAGCCAATCAGGTGCTGCGCCTCGGCCAGTCAAGCGGGTGTGTGGCACCTTGTGGGCGGAGACCACGCCTCTCTACGCGGGGGGCGGGGACACGCGGCTCGCGCGCTGTGGGCGGTGCCCGGCGGGGCCACGCCTTTTCCGGCCCGCAGCGCGGCCTGGGCTCCCGCGTGTTTAAAAGTGCGCTTGTGGCTGCTGCTGTCTTAACTCCTGTGCTTGGCGGACAGACAGGCGAGATGGCGGCGGAGGTGTTGCCGAGTGCGAGGTGGCAGTATTGTGGGGCGCCCGACGGGAGCCAGAGAGCTGTACTGGGTAAAGACTGCGGAGCTGGAGCAGTGCTCCTCTAACCCTCTCCCCTTCCGTCTCGGTACCTCAGCTGTCCTCTCGCCCTCCGTTGGGCTTCTCCCCAGCGGGGCCGGGACCCCTCTAGTCTCCACCACTCCCCTGGGCTCTGTCAGGGCTCCCCTGTCCGTCTTTCTGTCACTACCTCCCAGCCAGATTGGGACATCCCACTCACCCGCTCCCCAGAGCTGTGTCCAGGACCCTGCTGACCCCCTCACCCACCAGGTCTCCCGCCTCCCCCATTTCCCTCTCTTCACTGGGCAGGGGTTCCTTCTGTCACTTTAGGTATGTACCAGGCCTCTGCTGTCAGCCTCCTTCCGCGAGACATTCCCTCCTGTCACAGCCCCTCCCCAGGGTTCTCCCACCTCCCTACCTCCTCTTCTCAGCTGGCCCCGGATCTCCTCCAGTTCCCTTTGGGTCAGGACCCGAGCTTCCTTGCCATCCCCATTCTGACACTCCCTCCCAGTGACAGTCTAGTCCCACCGTACATTGTGTGGTACATTGTGTGGCCTTCTGCTCTCATCTCATTCTTGGGCTGCACTCTTACAGTCCAGTTCTCCAACGGGAAGCTACAGAGTCCAGGCAACATGCGCTTTACCTTGTATGAGAACAAAGATTCCACCAACCCCAGGAAGAGGAATCAACGGATCCTGGTAAGTGAAGCAGTTGCCAGCTGTCTCCACTCTGCAGGGCTCAGAAGGCCCCTGGGAGTGGGTGGATGTGGGAGGGAGTGAGGGGAGAAAAAGGGGAGTAGTAGCAAATGGAGCTTTGAAGAACTCTGATGCCCAGCAGCCTGGGATGTGGGGACAGGCTCCATCTTTCATTCATTTGTTCTTTCAACAAGCATTTATGGAACCTGCCCCTCTGCATCCCTGTGCTGCAAGCTTCTAGGAAAACAGCCAAATCAGGCCTAGCCCCACTCAGAGTTCATACTCTAGAGCAGGGTTTCTCAACCTCAGGACTATTGACTTTTTGGGCCAATAATTCTTTGCTGTGGGGGCAGCATCCCTAGTCTCTACTCATTAGATGCCAGTAGCACCAGAGTGGATTTCCCTGGATTGAGAACCTCTGCTCTAGAGAGATGAGAACTGGCTGTGAGGGACACTTTTACACAAAGCTCTGAGGCCACGTGGGGAAGAGTACAGGGCAGAGTGAGCTCAGTGGGAGGAGAGGTCTCTGCCAGAATGCCTTCCTTGGTGAGGTCATGTTGGAGCTGAGCCTTGAAGGCTGGAATGAGGGTTTGGCAGTCAACGTTTGGTGTTTCGAGTGAAAAGGATAGTGAGGACAAATGCAGAGAAGCAGGAAAGCTTGCTTATGATTGGGGAGTGAATCAGCCATGGTCCTGAGAGTATACAAAGAACAGGCCAAAGAGAGATTGCTTACAGAATCACTTTGTTGCATACCTTTAAGTGCCAGAAGCCCAGGGCCTCTCTCTCAAGTCTTGTGGCAGAATTCCCCCAAGAGCTTTTCATACCATTTAGAAGCTAGCACCATCTGAGGCTTCTCTTCCAGAAGTCGTCTTGCTTCCCCTGCAGGGACACCCCATATTCCCTTAGAGATAGTGGGGCTGGATCATCTGCCAGAGATGAACTAGTTCTAATCCATTGTGAGTCTGGATTCAAAAGCCTCAGCAAATGTAGAAAAGAGAAATGATGCTTAATACCTTTCAACATTGGTTGTAAATGGAGTTTCCCCTCTCTGCATTTTAGGCAGCTGAAACAGATAGGCTCTCCTATGTGGGAAACAATTTTGGGACTGGAGCCCTCAAATGCAACACTTTGTGCAGGTAATGGCAGGGGAAGGGACAGTGGGAAGGGTGATGGGGTTGGGAGTGGTGGCAGCACTGGCACTGCTGTTTCCTGTCTGTTTTAAGGGTAGCAGGAGCCATCTAGAGAGGTTTACTAGGTGATCCCTGTGTTCCTATTAGACCCAGAGCCCTTCCCTGCACGTGTAGACGTTGCTGGAAAGGAAAGATAACTTGAATTTCCTAAAAACCTCATTCATTTGTAATCTTGTTTATTTATAGCTGTCTTATTCCAAAAGGCAGGTCTCTCCATTAATTTGGAATGTGTGACTAGTAGGTCAAAGCTTGCGTGAAGTTTACCTGGGAACTAACGACAGGTAAAGAACTTGGTAGTGTTGAAGGCTCTGGACTGGGAAAGAGGAGCCTGGGATTCCCATCCAGCTGTGCTGCTGATTGACTGAGTGGCTGGGTAACTCTGCGCATCACTGACCCCCAGCCTCCCCCTCTGTACAGTGAAGATTGTCCAGCCTGAACTGTATCACTCTCGGGGGCTGGCATGATGCAGACAGGGCCCTGTGATGGTACCCAACAATGAACTACAAACTAGGCCCTTTCTGAGCCCCGGTGGACCATACTCCAATAGAGGAGAGGTCAGATGGGTGTATAGGTGCTGAGAACTATTAACCCTGCACTCTCCCCTCTCAGAGATGCCCTAGTTCCAATTGGTCTCCTCCCCGTTTACTTGATTTTGCCTCCATAAAACTGTTGTGCCATAAATTGTAGTGTAATTCTAGGTTCGTACACCCCAAAAGAGTTTTCCATTACACTACCGCAGTGAGCCCAAATGTGATCAACTATCAGAATCACCTAGTAGCTTTTTTTTTTTTCCCAGAACCACCTCATATCCTCCCATCCCATCCTATCCTTTCCTATTCCCTCTCTATGCAGAGAATTGCTGTGGGGTAGGGGTAGGGGAGATTATTGTTACCCATGAGTAGATGATGCATTCCTCAGGTGTGTGGGCAGAGAGAAGGTTGAGAACTTTTGAACAGGAAACAGGGCCAGGTGCAGTGGCTCACGCCTGTAATCCCAGCACTTTGGGAGGCTGATAGGGTCAGATCACCTGAGGTCAGGAGTTCGAGACCAGCCTGGACAACATGGTGAAACCCATCTTTATTAAAAATGCAAAAATTAGCCGGGGATGGTGGCGTGCGCCTGTAATCCCAGCTACTCAGCAGGCTGAGACAGGAGAATTGCTTGAACCCGGGAGGTGGAGGTTGCAGTGAGCCGAGATCATGCCACTCCACTCCAGCCTGGGTGACAGCAAGACTCTGTCTCAAAAAAAAAAAAAAGAAAGCTGTACAAATAATGCTTTTGAATAATCCATTGTTATTTGTATTATTTCTTCTTTATTCAGGCACTTTGTGGGAATTTTGAACAAGACCTCTGGCCAAATGGAAGTATATGATGCTGAATTGTTCAACATGCAGCCACTATTTTCAGGTAGGTCCCAGTCATGAAAGCTGACAGAAATAATGCATAGTTTGGGTTTGCTGGATGAGTTGGCTTGAGTTTTAGATTTATAAAACACATTTTATAGTTATTTTAATTTATTTATTCTGTTTTTTCTGCTTTGTCTGTGTTGAGAAAATGGTTTTTTATATACACACTGTTTTTTGTTTTTTGTTTTTTTTGAGATGCAGTCCCACTCTGTCACCCAGGCTAGAGTGCAGTGGTGTGATATTGGCTCGCTGCAACTTCCACCTCCCGGGTTCAAGTGATTCTCCTACCTCAGCCTCCCGAGTAGCTGGGATTACAGGTGCACATCACCACACCCGGCTAATTTTTGTATTTTTAATAGAGACAGCGTTTTACCATGTTGGCCAGGCTGGTCTCAAACTCTTGACCTCAGGTGATCCACCTGCCTCGGCCTCCCAAAGTGCTAGGATTACAGGCGCTAGCCACTGCGCCCGGCCTAGAGTTTTTTATTCAGCACACACTTATTGATAACCTAATGTACCAGGCACCAAGCTGGGGCTGTGGATGTGGCAGTAAGCAAGACAGACACAGATCCTGTCCCCATAGTGTTTAGAGACTTGAGGTCAGAGGTTCATAAAAGCAATCTGAGCAATGATCAGAGCAGAATATTAGAGGACATGTCTGATATAAAATCTTTTCCATAAAAGAACTTCCTTCATTCTTTTTATTTTTATTTTTTATTTTTGTAAATTACTTTATTTCTTCCTTGATCATTTCAAGGGACTATCTTCAAACCAGTACAAATATTTCATACGTAATACCTGGCCATTTTCTAAACAATCGAGGAGTTTGTTGCACAATAAGCTACCTCACGTCTTTCAGCAAGAAATACATTAAATTTGAAGAGTAAAGACATTACATAATGAACTAGGACATAATTAAAATTTGCCTTAAATATTTCTTTGGGGGAGAGAACACCACACTTCTACTCAATGAAGAGAAACATTTTTACAGTCCAGAGGTCTTTCATTTTTTAAACACCTGTCACGCCATGAATTCATAGGGAATAGGTTCCAGCAGCTCAGGCTGCTTCCCATTGGTTCTCACCAAGTGTGCTTCTCTGGGTGGAGCAGGCTGGCGCTTCAGTTGAACCCAGGTACCTTTCTCTTTTGCTTCTGTCTTTTTCTAATCATCTTTCTTCACCCGTTTCATGAAGCTTTCTCGGCTCTTAGAGTGCTTAATGTGCTCAATACGCACACTAATTCTCTTGGCAAGAATCTTGCCCTTGTTTGTTTACAACAATGCCAGCAGCATGCTAAACTGTAGACGCTTCCAGTTTAGCCATGGTAACACTTGAGGGGCATTCCTTTTTGAACAGTACCCATTCCCTTGATGTCTACGATATCACCTTTCTTATAGATTCACATATATGTGGCCAAAGGAACAACTCCATGTTTTCTAAAAGGTCTAGAGAACATATATTGGGTGCCTCTCCTCTTTCCCTTTGTGTTTGTCATTTTGATGAATTACTGCAAGATGGCAGTTCTGGCCGAAAGGGTTCTTTCTTAATTCTTAACTGTTATAGTTGGGGTAAAGAGGTTTTAGAATTTCTGGTAGACAAAGGAAATTGCTTATTAAGTTGTATAGTAACTTTCACGTTGAGGACAAGTCTCTACACTAATTTGAGGAAGATCTATTTTTTTTCCCTAATCCAGTGGAAGAATTTACATTGTTTCTCTGCTTTGTCATCTTAGAATGCTCAGGGCTAGAGTGAGATCTTCCAAAATAATAAATAAAAGGGTCACACTCAAGGGGCTTCTGTTCCTTAAATCTCAGAACTTGAATCCTTAGTGATGCCCTTAAATACTGGGAACCATGGCAGGATAGGGCGATAGACAAGAAAGAAACATTGGGAGCATTGTGAATCTGCCTGATACCTCAGAGGCATTAGTTCCAGTTTTATTCTCTCAAAGCAGTGCTTCCATCCCTTTTGAGAATCTGCTAAGGACCTGGACCTACTTCTGAGAAACATATATGATACACAAATACATATATATGGGATTTTTTTTAATATGGGATTTTATACATAATTTTTTTTTTTTTTTGAGACCCAGTCTCGCTTTGTCACCCAGGCTGGAGTGTAGTGGTGCAATCTGGGCTCACAGAAGACTCTGCCTCCCGGGTTCTAGCGATTTTCCTGCCTCAGCCTCTTGAGTAGCTGGGGTTATAGGTGTGCGCTACCACACTCGGCTAATTTTTGTATTTTTAGTAGAGATGGGGTTTCACCATGTTGGCCAGGCTGGTCTCAAACTCGTGGCCTCAAGTGATTCACCCACCTTGGTCTCTCAAAGTGCTAGTATTACAGGTGTGAGCCACCGTGCCTAGCCAAATTTTACACGTAATTTTAAAGGTCTCTTGAGTCCGGACACCCATCTGTGAATTTCCTAGGTGTCCCCCTGCTTTGCAAACATATATAACTATATTTAAATCATCTTCCAACTGTTCTTGTAAAATCCAGGGAGGCAAGGAAAATTGTAATTTAACGTGTTGATTAAACATATTTTTGTTGTTATATGTAAGAAGTTTGTAAATATGAGTTTATTCTAGGTAGCACACACACAGAGATAACATTTAAGTCCTTACTATATGCTAGTCACTGTTCTAAGCACTTTCCATGCATATACCAACCTTCTGGAGTAAGTACTGTTGTTCTTTTTTTACCAGTGATGAAACTGGCACAGAGGTTAGATGACCTTATCAGGGGTGATGGCTGAGATAACAGGCAAGGCCACTCCAGAGCTTGTACTGTTGTGTACTAAGTTATACTGCCCTTATTTGAGTACTTTGTAGATGATTGGAGAGCATCGGTAAGTACCACATACCTCATGTTTATGCCTGCTTTTAGGTCTTTCACCAAGAAAGCAAAATTATTTTCTGGAAAGAGCCAAGGACTTGTTTTCTAATCCTGTCTCTGCCACTACCTGGTGAACTGACCTGGGGCAAGTAATTTCATCTGTGGGCCTTCTGTTTTTTAATTTCTAAAATGAAGAGGTTGGGCTGGATGACCGCTTGATTTGGCTAATTTATTTTCCAAGTTCTTTAACTGTATACTAAAGCTGCATATTAAATATTCACAGTATACACTCATGTTAGGCTCAGGGAAGTCCTATAGTAAAGAAATCTATTATTCTTAGATAGACAAATGAATATTAAACACTATTACTATTTGTAGGCCTCCCAATTGACTTTTCTTTCTCTCTGTTTTTGTGTGTTTTGATAGATGTATCAGTTGAGAGTGAACTGGCGCTAGAGAGTCAGACCAAAACTTACAGAGAAAAGGTGAGTGTGATAGAATTAAGATGTGGGACCTTAAGCAAGTTCCTTCTACACCTCGGGTTTCTCCATCAGTGAAATGAGCTTGTTGAACTCAAGGGTCTCCCTGGCTGCTCCCCGCTCATTCAGTCTGTTTCTCTGGACAATTAGTTTGTACCTGCAGAAGCCTCCTTGGTCCCACAGAGAACAGTCTGGCTCCCATCTGGGGCAGCTGAACACAGCTCTGTGCCAATGTTTGGAGTCGGTTCTCTGGGCTGATACAAGTGTAGCATAATGCTTGTTTTTAGGATTTAGTCCAAGTTTTAGAATATATTGGTTGTAGCCTGAAAACATTCACGTTAAAACAAAGTAAACTTGGGGATTTTCAATGTAGAAGGTCCCTACAAAGGTCATCTCACCCCAAGATGACAAACTGATTGAATCTTTGGTGCTGTGTGGAGCACTGTATTGAGAAGGGTTGTGAGGCTACTTTTTGCTTCAGGGGGAAGGAGTCAGTGATCTATTAGCCCTGTCTGTTACGGGTGTAAGATGGGAGAATTACCATTCTACTATTCCTGTCTGTTACGGGCATAGGATGGGAGAATGGTAAGCCATGTGCTACAGATTTGCCAGCCCTAATCCTAGTCAAGTCTTTATATCTTACTGATGGAGATGCTGTTGATTGATCAATCTGTTAATATCATTTGGTGCTTACAGCAGTCCTGTGAGGTAAATAGGTGCGATTCAGCCTTATTCACAGGTGAGGTAGTGATCACTCTGGGATGCTGAGAGTATCCCCATAGTGACACAGCTAGGAGGGGCAGCACCTACCTGTCCTGTCCCCAGTAACCAGGTTTATCTCATAAACAGATGGATTCTTGTATTGAAGCCTTTGGTACCACCAAACAGAAGCGAGCTCTGAACACCAGGAGAATGAACAGAGTTGGCAATGAATCTTTGAATCGTGCAGTGGCTAAAGCTGCAGAGACTATCATTGATACGAAGGGTGTGACTGGTAAGAAGTTGGAACTTGGGCTAAGAGTCTGCCCATAATGACAGCTTTCTCTTCTCTTGAGATCTTTTACCCACCCACACATGGAATGCTGGGAGCTAGGGCTGGATTCCTTTCAGCCTCTTGCTGAAGGCCTTCTCACGGACAGGTTCTGGAAGTAGTAAGAAACATCCGACATGGCTTTGTCTTCTAGTGATCCACAGTCAAGTACAGGGACAGGCATGGAATGGATACATGCCTGCCGTGCTTATGGTGCTGGGGTTATGGCCTGCAGGGCACAGAGGAGGGAGAAGGCCTCAGGTCTCTCCTTGTGCGTTGCAGGGAAGCTTTGGTCAAAAAGGCTGATGTGTTGATGGAAATGAGCCTCCAGAGGTGGCATTTCACTTTGGGATCAGTGGCTCTGTTTCCGGTATTCAGCAGCTGGAGTATTTAATTGTATTATTTTAAAATGTATTTATTGTTCAAATACATTATAAGAACATAAGAGCAAGTTTGTGTAAGAGTAGCTTTTCTTTTTACCGATTTTGGAGATGAGGTCTTGCTATGTTGCCCAGGCTGATCTTGAACCCTTGGCTTCAAGCAGTCCTCCCGCCTCAGCCTCCCAGGTAGCTAGGATTATAGGCGCACACCACTGTGCCCTGGGCAGAGCAGTTTTTCTATTAAGAATGAAATTCTAGTAATTTTTGGAAAATCTTTCCATACCCTATGATTATATAGATTTCAACACTTTCACAAATTTATTTATTGATTGATTGGAGATGGGGTCTTGCTCTATCACCCAGACTAGAGTGCAGTGGTGCAGACATGGCTCACTGCAGCCATAACCTCCTGGGCTCAAGTGATCCTCCTACTTCAGCCTCCCAAGTGGCTGGGATCACAGATGTGTGCCACCATGCTCAGCTAATTTTTTTAGTTTTTTGGAGAGACAGGGTCTTGCCATGTTGCCTGGGCTGGTCTCAAACTTCTGGGCTCAAGCCATCCTCCCGCCTTGGCCTTCCAAAATGTTGAGGTTACAGGTGTGAGCCACCACACCTGGCTGCGGAGTTATTCTTGTGGGGCAGTTACAGTGTTATATTCTGAAAGTTTTGTTCCACCTACAATGTGTGGCAAGTTTTTCTAGAAGTTAAGCCATTAAAGGCTATTTTGGACGTCCCTCACTTTTAGTTTCTCTCATTTTATATTGTAAATGTTTATGTATTAGCACAGCTGTCAATCCCAACTCTATTGTAAGTTACCTGAGGGGAATCTTGTCACCTCCACCTTCTCCAGTGCCTAGCTTGTGTTTGTTCATGAGTGAACATGGCAGTCCTGAAGCAGTCAGCCTGATGGGGAGGCGAGGTCACTTTGGCAGAAGCATTTAGACTTGGGGTTTCTGGACCATTGGTGGTCTGAAGTGCACAGACTGAAAAGAATGTTGGGGAACTGGAAACAAACAGGGTGATACATGGATTGTTTCTTTATTGAAAAGCTCTGGTCAGCGATGCTATCCACAATGACTTGCAAGATGACTCCCTCTACCTTCCTCCCTGCTATGATGATGCAGCCAAGCCTGAAGACGTGTATAAATTTGAAGATCGTATCCTTCTTGCAGTAGAAAAGCTGCCTTATTTCACAAGTTGAGATGTTTGCACGTGTGTGCAGTCAGGTTCTCTGAGGGTGTCTGTGTTCTGTGACATTCACAAGAGCTCCATCCAAACCTTTGCAGTTGCTCAGTGCTCTTGCCAGGAGGTTAACTTGGCTTCCTCACTAGCTGAGGGACCGGCCCCTGGGATTCAAATCCATTCCTCAGCAAAATGCCAAATGCCCACAGCTTAGACCTGTGGGGCTCACTCTCCATGGAGAGTCAAAATAAGAGTTGAACCAGCCAAATGCCCAAAGTCTAGGGCAGACCACTTTTGTTGAAGGAAGGGTTGGAGCTTAGAATTTCACCACCCAAGGGGTCCGGTCAGAAGGAAAATGCCTGCAGTGGCTTTGTGATGAGAAAAAGCAGAAAAGCCTGGGCAGGGAATGGGCTCTGGGCTGGGAGTCGGAGAACTGAGTCACCAAGCTCTGCCCCTATGTGATCTGCCCTGTGTGATCTTTGGCTCTCTGAGCCTGTTTCCCTGTCTGTGAAATGCCACTGCTATGAGATGACCTAGCTAGTTGGATGTTTCTATTTTGGTTGGATTATATTCTTGACCTGTAACTAGTTCTTTCCCCTGCGGAGTATGAAGCTCTTCAGAGCCCATCTGAAGCTTTCAGGAACGTCACGTCAGAAGAAATACTGAAGATGATTGAGGAGAACAGGTACCCTGACTTAAGCAGATGGGGATTCTGGGGAGTGCTGTTGGGACCCAACAGTAGTCAGACACTGTGCAGGTCCTCTGGGCGTCAGTCAGTGAGGAAGTGTGTCTGGAGCATTGGACATGAATGAGCCAGTGTTTTCTTGAATGTTTGGGCTTTCAGGAGCTGTGGGTCACATTCGAGGGAGAGGGCTGGTCTCTGAGTCCGTGGGACCTGCGACAGGGCAGAGGGTGGTGAGGCCTTCTACTCTGGGGCTGGGAACTAGAGCTGGCCTGTGTCACCCAGTGTCATGCTGGTGCTGATTGTCACTGGCAGGGCCCAAATGCTGGCCTGGGAATGGGTGCTGGCCAAAGTGATGGTTTCTCTGTGATGATATGGTAGGCAAACTTTTCTAACATTAAATTTATGTATTTAAAATATTGTATATTTTAAATAATTCAGAGATTATTTCCTTCTCCCTCCCCTTTCCCATTAAAACAGCTTCTTTTATGATAGTGAGTTTTTTTTGCTTTTGAGTTTTTTCTTTTAATAATTTTATTTTGATAAAGAGTTGTCAATCTGAGGTTTGTTCCTCCAGTTTTTGTTTTAAAATTTTACTGGTCATTGAAATCCAGTGCCTTGGAATTATTATTATTATTTCTTTTTTTTTTTTTTTTTTTGCTTCAAAGATTTATTTCCAAAAAAGAGCTCATTACTAGTTCATAGTTGTCTTAATGTGATTGTGACTCAGGGGCAGGTGCAGGAACGAACTCTGAGCGGGGAGTCTGAAAACTGAGTCCCCGAACTCTGCCCTTATCTTCCCTTCTTGAAGCCTCAGTTTTTCTATCTGTAAAATGAGGCATCTATGAGATGATCTTGAAGAGCCTTTTTATCTCTGTGAGTCCAGGGTCTTGCTAGCAGTAGAGCAGTGCCTGAAAATAATAGTTAGCATTGACTGAGCCTTAACATTTTTGCCAAGCACTGTTCTAAGAGCTTTACTGGCATCATCTCTTAATCCAGAAAAAATGCTCAGGAGGAGAGTACCTGTACTATCATTGGCCCCAATTTATAGATGGAGAAACCAGGGCACCAGATACCAAGAAACTTGCCCCGCTGGGCACGGTGGCTCACACCTGTAATCCCAGCACTTTGGGAGACTGAGTCGGGCAGATCACCTGAGGTCGGGAGTTCAAGACCAGCGTGACCAACATGGAGAAACCTCATCTCTACTAAAAATACAAAGTTAGCTGGGCGTGGTGGTGCATGCCTGTAATCCCAGCTACTCAGGAGACTGAGGCAGGAGAATCGCTTGAACCCAGGAAGCGGAGGTTGCGGTGAGCCAAGATTGCGCCATTGCACTCCAGCCTGGGCCACAGAGTGAGACTCAGTCTCAAACAAACAAACAAACAAACAAAAAAAGAAACTTGCCTAAACCATTAAATGGCAGAGAAAGGATTGAAACCCAGGCAGGCTGACTACAGAGTCTATGCTCCTGACTATAAAAACAGAGGTCAGAGGTTAGCAAACTACAGCCCACATGCCAAGTCTGGCCTGCTGCCTGTGAGTAAGTAAAGTATAAATAAAGTTTTATTGGAGCACAGCCCTGTTCATTTACGTAAGTAATATCTGTGCCTGCTTTCGCACTACGATGGCAGAGTCAAGTAGTTGCAACAGAGGTTGTATGGCCTCCAAAGCCTAAAATATTTACTGTCTAGCCCTTTATTCATCCCTGCACTGAACCATGTTCTCCTATTATAAGGAGTGTTGAGTGTACTGGCCCTTCATCAGCTGCTTTTGTTCGTTTGTTTTTTTTTGTTTCTGAGACAGGGTCTTGCTCTGTCACCTAGGCTGGAGTACAGTGGCGCAGACAGCTCACTGGAGCCTCGACCTCCTGGGCTCAAGTGATCCTCCCGCCTCAGCCTTCCGAGTAGCTGGGACCACACACATGTGCCACCATGCCGGCTACGTTTTTGTAGAGATGGGGTCTTGCCTTGTTGCCCAGGGTTTCATCAGCTGTTGAGTGCGTCGGGGTGAGAGGCGCCTGCTGTTCTCGTTGTAAGAGGGAAGTAGTTCCTGACAGAGCCCATCTTACCCTGACACAGGCCTCCTTTTCTTTTCCTTGTTTTAGCCATTGCACCTTTGTCATAGAAGCGTTGAAGTCTTTGCCATCAGATGTGGAGAGCCGAGACCGCCAGGCCCGATGCATATGGTTTCTGGATACCCTCATCAAATTTCGAGCTCATAGGGTAGTTAAGCGGAAAAGTAAGTCTATGATAAACATTTTATTCTAATTGTTTCCAGTATATTATTTGTCTGTAATTCTTAGATGAGTTCTGATGAGAGAAGAAAATGGATATGTCTGTCCAAGTCTTTACTGTCAACTGTGAGATTCATTCTGGTACTGCTGACATGTCGAGGGGACTTGCCAGGCCCCTTTTTCTCTCTGGATCTCCCATTTTCTCATCTGAAAATTGGGGCCACGTTGGATTATATGATAGTTCAGGGTCCTTCCAGAGCTAACATTTGCTACTTCTATTCTGCATGAGGCAAAGTAGAATATCCAGGTCAAATAAAAGGAAAACTTTAAGGGACTGTTAGAACAAACATCAGCCACGTGTGTGCGTGTGTGTGTGTATATATAGAGAGAGCTTATGAGTTACACAGATGTATCTTGAAGGCTTGTGGCAGGTTTGTGTTGTGTCAGCTTATTTCTAACAGGAGAGAGTCAATCTGATGGTAACCCAGTGTCACCTGTAGCTAGGATCCTTTGCGGGTCACACCCTCATACCTACCCAGAGTTGGAAACCCAGAAGATGTCTGTGGTTTTAGGCACAAGGTGTATTTAGTTGTTGTTACTGTGATTGGGCATCCAGTAGTCTATACTCCTGTTTTTCAGTATAGTCATGTGTCGCTTAATGATGGGGATATGTTCTGAGAAATGTATCCTTAGGCAATTTTGTCATTGTACAAACATCATAGAGTATATTTACATAAACCTAGATGGTATAGCCTACTACACACCTAGGCTATATGCTATAAGCTGCTGTTCCTAGGCTGCAAACCTATACAGCATGTTACTATACTGAATATTATAGGCAATTGTAACACAATGGTATTTGTATATCTAAATATATCTAAACAGAAAAGGAATAGTAAAACTATGATATTATAATCTTACGGGACTGGCTGGGCATGGTGGGTCATGCCTATATCTCAGCACTTTGAGAGGCCAAGGTGAGAGGATCACTTCAGGGCAGGAGTTTGAGACCAGCCTGGGCAACATACCAAGACACTGTCTCTACACAAAAATAAAAACATTAGCTGGGGTGGTGCACGCCTGTATTCCCAGCTATTTGGGAGGCTGAAGCAGGAAGAGTGTTTGAGCCTAGGAGTTCAAGGTTACAATGAGCTATGATTGCACCACTGCCTCGGTGACAGCAAGACCCTGTGTGAAAAAAATCTTATGGGACCACTGTCACATATGTGGCCTGTCATTGACCAAAACACTGTAATGTGGGACATGACTGTATTTGCTTAGTCATGCTTTTTTTGTTGTTTTTTTGTTTTGTTTTTGTTTTGTTTTTTTTGAGACAGTATCTCGCTCTGTCACCCAGACTGGAGTGCAGTCCCATGATCTTGGCTCACTACAACCTCCATCTCCTGGGTTCAAGCAATTCTGCCTCAGCCTCCCGAGTAGCTGGGATTACAGGCGGGCACCACCACGCCCAGCTAATTTTTGTGTTTTTAGTAGAGACGGGGTTTTTCCATGTTGGCCAGGCTGGTCTCGAACACCTGACCTCAGGTGATCCACCCTCCTTGGCCTCCCACAATGCTGGCTGGGATTACAGGCGTGAGCTACTGCACCCAGCTTGTATTTGCTTAGTTCTTTTTTTTTTTTCTTTTTTTGAGACAGAGTCTCGCTCTGTCGCCCAGGCTGGAGTGCAGTGGCTCGATCTCGGCTCCCTGCAACCTCCACCTACTGGGTTCAAGGGATTCTCCTGCCTCAGCCTCCTGAGTAGCTGGGATTATAGGCGCCCGCCACCACACCCGGCTAATTTTTGTATTTTTAGTAGAGACGGGGTTTCACCATGTTGGTCAGGCTGGTCTCGAACTCCTCACCTCATGATCTGCCTGCCTTGGTCTCCTAAAGTGCTGGGGTTACAAGTGTGAGCCACTATGCCCAGCCAGTTGTTTTTTGTTTTGTTTTGTTTTGTTTTGTTTTGTTTTGTTTTGTTTTTTTGAGATGGAGTCTCACTCTATTGCCCAGGCTAGGGTGCAGTGGCGCAATCTTGGCCCACTGCAACCTCTGCCTCCTGGGTTCAAGCAATTGTCCTGCCTCAGCCTCCCAAGTAGCTGGGATTAGAGGTTTGCGCCACCATACCTGGCTAATTTTTGTGTTTTTAGTAGAGATGGGGTTTCACCATGTTGGTCAGGCTGGTCTTGAACTCCTGACCTCAGGTGTTCTGCCTGCCTCGGCCTCCCAAAGTGTTGGGATTACAGGCGTGAGCCACCGCGCCTGGCCACTTAGTTCTTATTTTCACATTCCAATTCCACCTTTCCCCCTCTCTCCCTGAGCTTTCAGCACAATTTTTGTTTTCTAAGGTCATGTTAACTCTGGGTCCTTAGGCCTCAGGCTGTGTTTTCTTGTCATTGCCCCATCACCAGCATCTCTCGTGCAGGGCAAACTGCAGGCTGCAGCACACCAAGCATGTTTTCATTTTGATGTGGCTGTTCTGCTTTGTGTGGGCCCTGCTTCTCTTACCACCTGGTTCTGGTCATTGCAGTGGCCCAGCTGTTGGCCTTTTCTCTTAGCTCATGGTTGAGGTGTGGCCTGAGGGTTTTGAGAGAAAATGATCAAACTCAACTTTGTGTTGTAGGTGCTCTGGGACCTGGAGTTCCCCACATCATCAACACCAAACTGCTGAAGCACTTTACTTGCTTGACCTACAACAATGGCAGGTCAGGGGGTGGTTGCTGGGATTTTTCTTGTGCAGGAGAAAGTAGGTGGGGGTTGGGAGTGAGGAGCAGGGGCTTGGACTCAATTCCATGTCCACGGAGATGCAGTGCTGAAAAGACTGCTGCCATTTGGAAGGCTCCTGGGGCCCCAGTAAGTTTAGCAAATGCTAAATATGACATACTCTGCCCTTCTTAGAAAAGTATTACCTTTTGGGAACCTTAGAAGCTCTGGGAAGTCCTACAATAAAGACTTGTTTTACTTCACATACTTTTGAATAGCCCTTCCCGATGTCTCACAGAGCTGGTGTTCTGCGGAAAGGCAGCATTGCAGAAAAGGGCAGCCCAACTCGGTGACTCTGGGGAAAGACCCGCAGGCCCTGCCCCTGGGCTTCCTTCCTGCCATTTGCATGGCGTGTGTTTTCTGCTCTTGAGTGTGCTTGGAAGAATCAGCACAGCTGATTTCGGGATGATTGTTTTCCCAGCAGCCCTGCTGGGCAGGCGGGGACAGACTCACAGGGCCCTCACCAGCTCAAAGCGCTAGCAGTGCCCAGGTAGAGTGTAGGCCCAGCTTTCTCTATCTGCCTCAGAGGGAAACATGGACTGGCACACTGCTCCACTGTGTGTGAGGCCCAGGAACCTTGGAAGGGCAAAGTCACCCACATTCCTTTTCCTTTCCTGAAGTTGGGAAGACATTCCGTGCATATGAGAATAGGATTGGATGTTCTTATTTTGCTTTTGGAGAAATTGTCTGAGAGTTTAATTTTGTTTCTCCTTTATTGCCACTGATTTTCTAGATTACGGAACTTAATTTCGGATTCTATGAAGGCGAAGATTACTGCATATGTGATCATACTTGCCTTGCACATACATGACTTCCAAATTGACCTGACAGTGTTACAGAGGGACTTGAAGCTCAGTGAGAAAAGGTGAGCACAACAGAATAAAGAGCTCCCTGCAGGGTGTCTCGATGTCTTATTTCTGGTACCACTGGAAAGCATGAGGCACCACCAAGGGAACTGAGGATGTTTAAATGTGGGAACAACTTGGAACTAAAGGACTATTTTCAATGAATGAATCATTGACTGAATGAGCAACTAGACATTACTGAGTGCCTTCTCTGTGCTAGATAAATTATGTCATTATCTCACTGATTTCCCTAGAAAACAATTGAAGAATCAGGCTCAGAAAAGTACGTAACATTCTCAAGGTTACACAACCAAGAGGGGAGTAGTTGGCCTTGAGACCTGAGCCTTTCCATAACATTCTGTTCTGAATAACCAGGCAGCCTCCATTCTCTGAATTGCTGTCACAGGGGAGAGGGATTCTGTATGGTTCTGAGGAGTGCAGCTCAGGGTGGAAGTTGTAGGACAACCCAATTTGAGCTTAGTAAGAAGAGCTTCCTCACAATCAGATGGAAGGGTTTGCCAGGGGAACCGCTGGTTCCAAGGCCAGGTGGAACTGCTGTTTGGCAGGGATTTTATGTTTGCACTTCTCTGACCCAACTGGGAGAGCTGGTGGTGGAGGTGACCTTTTAGGCTCCATCTAGCCTTGTAGAGGAGATTCAGACAGTAGGGGCAGAGCTGCCCAGGAACCTGAACTGTGAGGTCAGCTGATCTTTGTCAGTGATTTAGGGGCATCTGACATCCAGTGGCCCAGAGGGTGTCTAGGAGAGCCTGTGAACACACCTCTGTCTGGACTCTCTAGCAGTCCGTGGAGGGACTGTTCTGAGGGCTGTCCACAAACTGTGTTCCCACAGGCAGTGAGGCTGAAAAAAAGAGAACAGGTACTTGGAACCTGTCAGATTCTAGCAAGTGCTCAATCCTGGTTGCTAAAAGTTTGGTTATGGGAGGTAAAGAAAGTTGCTCACGGGGCTGTAGATACCCTGGTTTTTCATCACCCATATGGATCTTTTGAAGGGCATTAAAATGAAATTGGCTGTCTGATGGTTCCCAGCGGGTGAGGGGACCTTGCCTGCCTCTCTGCCAGGGGCTTTGTGCCTGCTGGCAACCTTTGGGATTCTGTCTTTATGGCCTGGAGCATGAATGTGCTGCTACCTTTTGCCAAACCTCCCTGAACAGTCATGTTGAGGGGTCTCTCCAGTTCTTCTGTTTATGTCTTCCTTAGGATGATGGAGATAGCCAAAGCCATGAGGCTGAAGATCTCCAAAAGAAGGGTGTCTGTGGCCGCCGGCAGTGAAGAAGATCACAAGCTGGGCACCCTGTCCCTCCCGCTGCCTCCAGCCCAGACCTCAGACCGCCTGGCAAAGCGGAGGAAGATTACCTAGACGCATGCTTTCCAGACAGGGCGTTTTGGCTGCATCACAGCCACTGGCTGGTCCTATTCATTTCCATTTTTATGTATGTTTTGAAAAGAAAAGGTCCGGGGATGGTGGCTCACACCTGAAATCCCAGCACTTTGGGAGGCCGAGGCAGGAAGATCATTGAGCTCAGGAGTTTGAAACCAGTCTGGACAACATAGGGAGACCCCATCTCTACCGGAGGAAAAAAAAAAGAGTCAGGCCTGGTGGTGTGCGCCTGTAATCCCAGCTACTCGGGAGGCTGAGGCAGGACGATTACTTGAGCTTGGGAAATCAAGGTTGCAGTGAGCTATGATTGTGTGGCCACACTCCATCCTGGGTCACAGAGTGAGACCTTGTCTCAAAAAAGTAACATAAGGAAAAAAGAAGCCTTGCTTTAGCACAGGTATGAAGCCAGAAGCCAGCATCTCAACTGTGCTTGTCTTATGCAGAAATATAAAGCGATGGCCAGGTTGGACTTCATCTCTCTCCTTTGGTATTATTGCTGTGATTATAAATGGCAGATGTTTCTCATGTTGGTTCACCTGTGGGGATTTGGGAGGGTGGGTCCTCCCTCCCAAAGTTGACTCACCAGGCTGAGTCAAATCTAATGGATGAAGGTTTCCAAAGAGAAATGTGAAGTGGCGTGCTTAGGTCTGGAAGGGCCAGTGGAGTACGCAGTGAGGAAGGAGGATCTGGCCCAGCACGCCTGGGAAATGACACTTCAGGCTTTATCAGAAGCTAACTGGGTCACCAGTGTGATGGGGGCTGCCACAGGCCAGTAGGATACAGCCTGTTGTAATGGGGTGGAGCCAAGTCAGAGGAAGTGGTGACCCAATTTCTCTGTCTGGTGGAGGCCACATAGAAGGCAGGGGTCAGCTATGAAAGCCACACTTTGAAGAGGATGAATCAGTCAGTGTTCAGTTCAGAAAATCAATTGCTCTAGGTATCTTAAGAAGAATGGATTTTAATGTATGGATAAGGTGCTGTAGAATTGTGACAAGGGCCAGAGGACTGGGAATCGGAAGGTTGCCGTCAGGACTGCTGAATTCAAGAACACACTGCCGGGGTTGCCATCGGGGACTCAGAAGCCACTTCTGCTCCATAACTGCTCCTGGAATTCATGCAGCTGAAGATTCAACACTGGGCTGCTGATTTCAGCTACCCATGCTTTCTTCTTTTTCTTTTTATTTTTTTGAGACAGAGTCTTGCTCTGTAGCCCAGGCTGGAGTGCAGTGGCACGATCTCGCTCACTGCTACCTCCGCCTCCCATGGCCTGGTTCAAGCAATTCTCCTGCCTCAGCCTCCCGAGTAGCTGGGATTACAGGCATGCGCCACCATGCCCAGCTAATTTTTTTGCATTTTTAGTAGAGACAGGGTTTCACTGTGTTGGCCAGGCTGGTCTTGGACTCCTGACCTCATGATCCACCCGCCTTGGCCTCCCAAGGTGCTGGGATTACAGGTGTGAGCCACCGTGCCCAGCCTACCCGTGCTTTCAAAGGTCCTGTATTTCCACCACTTTGTCACCACAGACAGCCAGAAGGTCAAGCAGCTGGCCTCCACCTTGCTTCCTTCTGGTGCGCATATATAGGAGCCTGATTAGCATGTAGAATCCTAGCAGAATGGGAGTCTTTGAAATAGGTTTCAGCTCACCAGCCTCTAGTTACAGGAGGCATTCTAGAAGGACATGAGTGGATTATAACTGCCAACCAATTGTATGTGCCACTGAGGAGATGGAGAAGCTGTGTCCAGAGCGGTGCTATAAGGACAGGAGTGTGACACAGGAAGGCTTAGGTACGTGGCCTGGGCCCAGTCTCACATCTCAGGGTCCTGCTTCAAGTGGGAGCAGTTGAGATCTGTGACACTCAGCACCTGGGAGGCCGGGTCAGTGAAGGGAGGGAGACAGAACTCAGCTCCTCTGAGAGGAGAAGTTTACACAGCACCTGGGGCCCTCCATTTGGGAGTCACAGTGGAAAGGAGTCTTGGCTGAGCTTTGGGGCAGGTGCACCTTATTTTCTTTGCGGTCTGGGATGCCCTCAGAGCTGTGCTCCTCTGCTTTGTCCCCATCTGCCTCTGGCCCTGGGTAGGAGGCACTTGGAGCATACTTTGTCTTCCTTCAGCAGAGGTGTGGGCAGGGAATCTACTTGTCTCTTGTTTTCCTTTAAGCCGTTGTGAAAATCAAGTATGTGACTCTTCCTTGGAAAAAATAATCTCTCAGAAAAGGACTTCTAATACATCCTCAGGGTAGAATGTGTTTCCGTGATTACTTTTTTTTTTTGAGATGGAGTTTCGCTCTTGTTGCCCAGGCTGGAGTGCAATGGCGTGATCTTAGCTCACTGCAACCTCTGCCTCCCGGGTTCAAGTGCTTCTCCTGCCTCAGCCTCCCGATTACAGGCATGCACCACCATGCCCGGCTAATTTTGTATTTTTAGTAGAGACAGCGTTTCTCCATGTTAGGCTGGTCTCAATCTCCTGACCTCAGGTGATCTGCCCGCCTCGGTCTCCCAAAGTGCTGGAATTATAGGCGTGAGCCACCACGCCCAGCCTTTTGTGATTACTTTTAAAATTCAGCTGGGTTTGACACTTGGAGGCTTAATTTCTGGGAATGACTGGACACAGCATGTGGCTGGGACCCTCTGAACAACCTCTGACCTAGTGGAGAAGCAGGTGGTAATGACTGTAGGTATGGATAGGGAAAGACTAGGCGGGCAAATACTTGTCGTGTGTCAACAGGTGTATTTTGCTAAATGTCGGGGACACATTCCAAGAGGCTAAAAAGCAAATTTCTGTACATTAGGAGATTTGTGAGTCCTTAGGAAAGGCTCAGAAGAGGGCTCCACCTAGCACAATACCTGACATAGAAAGTGGTCAGTGTCTGCAGAATGAGTCGGCATGAACCGTACTTTCCTTGGCAGGGTTATTAGGTGGTAAATACCTGCAGAATAATGGGATTGTACTAGGGTTTCTTCTGGCTTTAGAAACCCATTTGTTTACTAATAGATTCCCAGAGGATACCTTGATCTCACCAAGCTATTTGCCAGAATGTCTCCTGATGGCCTCATTGAAGAAAGGGGGACTATGAGCCAGATGCTGGTGCCCTGAAGATTTGTAGTTTGTGGGATAGTCTTAACTTGGCAGGGTTTGATTAACAGAATGAAGTCTGTTCCTTAGAGGGAAGTCTTTGCTTGCTGCCCTGACCTGCTGGACACTGTTAATTGGGATGAGGTCAAAGAAGGCATAGTTACCACATTTGCAGGAGACCCTAACCTGGAAATAGTAAATTACATAACATTCTTTCAAGTGTCTCCTCTTTTAAAAAAGTATTTTGATATAGTTTCACACAGAGAAAACTTGCAAGAACTCTTGTATATCCTTTACCCAGATTCTCCAACTGTCAATACTTTGTCCCATTTACTATTTGCTTTAGACATTTTGAGATTTGTTTTTGAACCATTTGAGGAAAACATCCTACCCTTCTACCCATAAGTACTTTTTCAGTGTGTACATCTTAAGAATCAGGACTTTCTCTTCCATAACCACAGTCCATCAGATGCAGGAAATAAGACAATAATGCAATACTATGACTTAGCCCACAGTTCATGTTCAAATCTTACCGATCACCATGCCTCTTTGGTCTTGCTTAATCTGAAACAGTTCAGATTTTTATTGGACTTTCTCGGCTTTGACATTTTGGAGAGTGAGGTGTTATTCTTTAGGGTGTCTGTCAGTTTACATTTGGGGCTTTCCCGTGATCGGATTCAGGATTTACATTTTTGGCAGGAACAGCACAGAAATGATGCTGTGACCCACATGCATCACATTAGGGGCCCATGATGTGGGACTGCGCTTTCCTTGCTGCTGTTAACTTTTATCAGTTAAGGTTGTGTTTTCCGCATTGTGAAGATACTGTTTTTCCTTTTAATAAGTAATTTCTGGAGGGATACTTTGAAACTAAGTATCCTGTTCCTCATCAAACTTTCACCTACTAGTTTCAGCCTCAATTGATGATTCTTGCTGAATCAATTACCAAGATGGTTGCAAAATGGTGATTTTGCAACATTATCGTTTCTTCTAATTATTGGCATGCTCTTATAAGGCAGTTTGTTTTCTCGACCTTAGAAGTTTTGTGTTCATTTAGTTATTGGCATAGACTCAAGAGTCTTGTGTTCTATGTGGAGTCTGTTACTGTGATTCCTTGTGATGTCCAGATTGTATGTATTTGGCCAATCTTGAGTTCCTTCAGGAAACCTCCTGGATCCCATCATTTTAAGGGTGCTTCCTTACTTTCTAGCATGAGATATTCCAGGCCTACCTTGTACTTTCCCTGCTGCAGCCCTGGAGTCAGTCTTTTGTTGTGGTTTTGCTTTTTAGAGACAGGGTCTTGCTCTGTCGCTCAGGCTGGAGAGCGGTGGTGCAGTCAGCTCACTCCACTCCTGGGCTCAAGCCATCCTCCTGCCTCAGCCTCCTGAGTAGCTAGGACTATAGGCATGCACCACCACGCCCAGCTTTGAATCCGTCTTTTATCCAAGGAGCTCTGGCCTTTTAGCGGAGAATAGCGGATGACATGAATGATGGGCCTGAAGCAGGAAGTGAAATGCAATCCTGACCACCAGACAGATGGGATCTTCAGCTGCACTCAGGCAAGAACTAGGCTCGGGGTAGAGGTGACAGCTCTGTGATGGGGAGCTCAGGCTGCACCAGGAGGCCATGCTAGGTTTGACTTCATTTAAAAAGCACACTACACAGCTGACGGGCTCAGGAGCTCCATGAAGGGCACCCTGCAGAGGTCTGGAGGGTAGTGAGAAGGTACCAATGGGGCGAGCATGCCTGTGTCGGGAGGCTGATCCGGGTAGGAATAAGCCCAGCATGCCCCACATGAGCCCACCATGAGGAAGCATTTGGAGAGAAAGCTTGCTCTGTGTTGTCAGAAGGGAGATTGAAGAAGGTGGGCCCAGGGGTGCTGTTGACAGTATAGGCTCATGTGCTGTTCCAAGGCTCATCTCTGGCTCTTGCCTGGTCTGGCCATACCATGTCCACATCCGCTGTACTTAGGACTTCCTCTGGGCACCAGGGCAGTGGCCTCACCAAGACCTGGAGGCCTAGATGATGAAATCATACTGGTGTTTGCTGTGCTTGTACATTCCCATCAGCAGACATCCGTGTTTGGGCCTGACTGGCCAACAGGGAAGTCCAGGGAGGACACAGTATAAGCTGCTTGGGTAGAGGTCAGCTGGAACCTCTTGTGAACTCTGCACCAGAGTGAAGCCTTCACCCATGGCAGTATTCCTGTGGGTGGGAGGGAAGCTACTGCAGACTGAAAGCAAATGATTCCAAGGAAACACAGTACTTTAGAGAATTCTCTTTAGATCCGTGAGTGCTGCCCATGGAGCTGGGCCATTCCTCCTGAGATACAGGACAGGACGCCTCAACTCTGCTTCTTTGGGCTCTCCCAGACCTACCCAGGCCACTGGAGTGAGTCTAGAGAAATGACCAGGGTGGTGAAGAGACACCCTGCAAACTGGCACATACGAGAGGAACCCAGGAGGGCAGCAGACCCCAGGGGGATGAGGGTGCTGCCTGCAAATCTCTGAAGAGTTGTCACAGAACAGAGTGAAGAGATGTCCTTTGGGGGCCCCAGGAGGTAGAGATTCTGGGAATGAGGTTGGGTTTGTTTCCTCATTTGTCTGCCTGTCTGTCCGCCATCCATCCAACACTTAGTGAGCTTTGCTCTGTGCTGGGCATAGAGAATCAACAGTGAACAAGATGGGCAAAGTCCCTGCCCTCAACCAACAGACTGAAAAGAGAGGATTCAGTGCCATCTGCAGGTGGCATGTGGCTGAGTGGGCACAGGAGCATGGAGAAGGCGCAGTTAACTGTTATTTGTAGAGACAGGGGAAGGTGTTCCATAGAAGTAGTGACTAAGGAGCTTCTGAAGGAGGGGTAGAATTTAGCGAGGGAGAGAGACTTTGGCTCAATTAAGTAAAAAGTTAGATGGGCTCAGTTTTCTTGGGCAAGTCTGGCCTGTTGTGCAAAGCACCCGCACTCCCTGACTCTTCCCCAAACACAAGAGCTAAGGTGGGTGTTCTGTTCCTCCCACTTCTGCCTCCAAATGACCTGGAGGGAATTTGTGTCCCAGCTGTTCCCTTCCCTGCCACCTTTGCTCCAGGTAATAGCCCTCCTCACACCTCTCCACATCTGATAGGGAACTTTCCCCTGCCGGATCTCAGGAGCATCAGCACTCCCAGCCTCCAAAATGGGGACAATGAGCTCACCAAGTCAATGTTTAATACATTATTGACAGAACTTACGATGATTTTAGGTGGCTCAGGGATGTAGTAAAGTACTTGTGTTCTGCTGGTTAGGCTAAGCTGAAGTGACAAATGGCCCTCAAATGTCTGGTTTCAACAAAAGTTCATTTGCTTTTGTTGAATGTCTGGCACATGTCTGTCAGCCAGCAGGCACCTGGGACCCTGCTCCGGGTTAGCTTCACCCCGGGACTCGGGCTGCCATGTCTGACACGTGGTGGTCCACTGGCAGAGGGACACACGATCGGGGCAAGTTCTGCTGGCCCTTAAAGCTTCTACCCAGAAGTGACCATTAACCACTTCTGCCTACATTCACTGGGCAAATCAGGTCCCATGGCAACGTGAGAGGGCATGTACTCTCCCTGAGGGGCAGCAAACAGTAACTACCAAAACCAATGAATATTTTCATTTTAATAGTTTAATGTATGTTTATAGTAATATAAAAAGTCTTTTCAGTGTGTGAAAAAAAGACATGTTGTAGGATGGGATCCTGGAATGGAAAAAGGACATTAGGTAACAAACTAAAGAAATCTGAGGCCAGGCACAGTGGCTCATGTTTGTAATCCCAGCACTTTGGGGGATTGAAGCAGGCGGATCACTTGAGCCCAGGAGTTTGAGACCAGGCTAGGCAACATGGCAAAACCCCGTCTCTACAAAAAAATACATAAATTAGCCAGGCGTGGTGGTGCATGCCTGTAGTCCCAGCTGCTCAGGAGGCTGAGGTGGGAGGATCACCTGAGTGAGCCTGAGGAGGTCAAGGCTGCGGTGAACCATGATCACACCACTGCACTCTAGCCTGGGCAACAGAGTGAGATCCCGTTTCAAAAAGAAAAAAATCTGAATAAACTATGGACTTTAGTTAATAATGTGCCAGTACTAGTTTATGAATTTTTACAAATGTACACTGATAGCATAAGATGTTAATAACACAGAAACTCGGGGGTGGCAAGGGTGATATGGGAACTCTAGTAATCATCTGTCTGCTCAATTTTTCTGCATATTTAAAACTTCTAAAAATTAAGTAGATTTAAAGAAAAAAGTACTAACTTCTCAGGTGACATATGGATATAGCAAAAATTCTAAGATGCTGAGTAAGTGAAGTTGGGGAAGTGTGCTCCGGGGTCTGAGGTCCCTAAGCTGACAGTCCAGTGATCCATGGGGACGGCCTGTTTCTGTTGTCTTCACAGAGCAGGCAGGAGTGGAATTATAGCCCGATTGAGCCCTTCAGCCCTATATCTGGAACTGTCACAGGAACAAGCTGACCCAACAAGATGGCCCCAGGATTCTCCTGTCTCCTTCAGAGGAAACAGTGCTGGGCCTGGCCAGCTGGGAGCCCCAGTATATGCCCAGACTAAGGAAAGGCTTCCAAAAGTGCCTTTTTTAAAATATAGAACTTTATTTTGGTTACTGAGGTTTTTGTTACTGTTGGTTCACAGAAAAGTCATTTCTTAGAAAATAGTAACGGCAGCATTTTTTACAGCGACTCACATTGGGGCCACCAAACAAGTGCAAAGGACAGTGCCAGGGATAGAAGAGGCCAGTACTCTTGTGCCCAGTGTTCTCAGGGAGAACCCAGTGCTCCTGGCTCCCTCTACCCCCTCCCATCCCACCCAACAGAGCAGCACCTAGGGCCAATAGAACCAGCCACGCAGCCAAGTGCACGACAGTGACCCCAGCAGGCTGGTGAAGGCCCCACAGGAAAGGCCGAGTGGGAGGGGATTGTTCAGGTTGAGCTGGCCCTGCATCCAGCCCTCTTCCTCAGGCAGTGGGGTCTGACCTCACCTGGCTTTGGGACTTGGACATATTCACAGTACGGTTCAGTAAAGTCCTCTGGGAGCTGGCCTTCCTCTCCTCACTCAGGCCACTAATCCTACCCCAACCCCAGGCTGGATCTGGGGACACACAGTCAGAAGTGGCCCTACCTACGGGGAGCACACAGGTGAGTGGGGGGTCAGGCAATGGACCCAGATAGCTCCAGGACAAGGCAGAAAGTGCTCAGTACCCTGAGAGGGAGCAGAGAAAGGCCACTGAGGCCCAGAGGGGGAAAGAGGGCAGGGAGAGCTATGTGGAGGTGGCAGTGTCTCGGCTAAACCTTGAGGAACGAGGACACGGAGATGGGGGAGAAGGGCATGCCGGGAGGAGGAAAGAGCATGAGCCAAGGCACAGAGTGGGGAGGCTTGGGAGGGTCAGTAAAGACCAGCGCTCATCCATGAGAACACAGATGCGAACGAGAGGCCCAGGTACCCTCATCTGAACAGGCTGATGCTCAGGAGGGGCGGCTGGTGTGGGCACGCTCACATGGGGTTTGAATCCTTCTGCATTTGGGAGCTCTCTGGGGATGGAGTAGAGCCTTGTGCATCCCTGCCCACCCAGCCTAGCATCTGCCTGCACGCTGCAGCCCCACCTGTTTCAGCATGTCCCTCTTGTCATCCCTGGGGCAGCCTTTCCATGGGGTCTCCTGTTGCTCCCAGGTCCTTCCTTCCTCCCAGGTCCATGTCCAAGTCCTCAAGTCAACCAAACTCAACTCCTCCAGCCTCCAGAGACAGCTGGGAGGGTGTGGTGGGGTCCCTGGAGGGATTGAGAGGGAGACAGCTCTAGCAAAGGGGAAAATTCTGGAGCAGTTGTCTCTCTCCACCTCACTAGAATCACTTCCCGCCATCAGAAGTAAATCTGCTCTTTCCTGAGAAGAGTCTGGGTTTGGTGTGTGTAAAACACAGTTCCTTAGAACTCAGAGAAAATCCTGACCAAAAGCTTCAGCATTTGAGCTTCCCCCGCTCTTCACAATCTTTATAGACTTCGAGTGACTGGAAACCCACCAGCTTCTATCCCTTCTCCCTGAAAAACATTGCCCACTTTCTTCTTGCTATGGGCTGTGGAGCTGAAGTGTTCTGGAGGTACCGTGTTTTGGAGGCCCGGGACCCATTTGTTCGAGGGGGAGGGGGAGGGGCGGAGTCTTTTCAGGCAGTATTTCCACCTTAGCTCCTCTGAGCACCCATCCAGGCTTGGCCCTGAAGCAGGTCTGTGTCCTCACAGGATGGTGCAGAAGACACTGCGGTTGCTGTGGTAACCACCTTCCACCCGGGCTGTGATCCTCGTTGCCATGGCTGTCACCTTCTGCCCATTGTGGGCTGCCGAGGGACGTCTGAGAGAATTTTCAAGGTGGGGCCGTGCTGGTGGGTTCACCAGGCGCCACGTATCAGACCTGGAGGTGCAAAACGAAAGTCAGTGAACTTCTGAGGGGTGTGCAGTGCTGGCTGAATGCCCTGCACAGTCTTAACTTGGGTTCCAGATCGGTGGATCCAGGTGTTTAAATCTGGGTGTAGGTTTTATCTTCCAGTTTAGTGTTAGTCCAAAGAGGTGGGCTGTTGAGAAACTAAGGAGCAAAAGCCCTGCATTCCACGTCCAGCTCTGCCTTCAACTCTGCATGTAGCCTTGGACAAGGTCCCTCTGTAGGCCTCAATTTTCCCGCTTTGAGACACTCTGTTGCCCAGGCTGGGGTGCAGTGGCACGATCATGGCTCACTGCAGCCTCAACCTCCTGGGCTCAAGTGATCCTCCCACCTCAGCCTCCCAAAGTGCTGGGATTATAGGCTTGAGCCACTGCATCCAGCCGACTTCTCCACTTTAAATAAGGATCTGGATAAGATCATAGGGTGGTTGTTGTGAGACAGGGTCTCATTATGTTGCCCAAGCCGGTCTTAAACTCCTGGGCTCAAGTGATCCTCCTGCCTCAGCTTCCCAAGTAGCTGGGATTATAGGTGTGTGCCACGGTGCCAGCTTTTCCTCTTTCATTTCTTTTCAGCTCTATGACCACAAATGTTTATAGAAGCTTTATTCATAATCACCAAAAACTAGAAACTACCTAAATACGCTTCAGCTGATGAGTGAATAAACTGTGCAGTACACCCATACAGGGGAAGACTACTCAGCAATTGAAAGGAATGAACGCCTTACATGCAACACCATGAATGAATCTCCAGCATGTTAGGCTAAGTGAAAGAAGCCAGACTCAAAAGACTACATACTGCAGGATTTCTGGGTTTTTTTTGTTTTTACTTTTATTTTTTAATATATATATATATTTTTTCCGAGACGGAGTCTTGCTCTGTTACCCAGGCTGGAGTGCAGTAGTGTGATCTGGGTTCACTGCAACCTCTTCCTCCCAGGTTCGAGTGATCCTCCTGGCTCAGCCTCCCGAGTAGCTGGGACTACAGTTGCGTGCCATGATGCCCAGCTAATTTTTGTATTTTTAGTAGAGATGGGGTTTCACCATGTTGGCCAGGCTGGTCTCGAAATCCCGACCTCAGGTGATCCACCCACCTCGGCCTCCCAAAGTGCTGGGATTACAGGCGTGAGCCACCGCACCCGGCCACGATTTCTTTTATATGACATTTGGGAAAATGCAAATCTATGGGGGATAGAAGTTGGTGGGTTTCCAGTCACCCAAACTCTTGTAGAGAGCATGGAGGGCCAGGGAAAATAAAATGATAGTGAAGCTGTGGTCAGAGTTTTCTGATGCTTGAGTTACAAGGAACCAACTTTACACACTAAGTCTCCATTTGCTTAAGGCAACACATTGTCTTATATGTATTTTTATGATAATGATGTTACAATGAAAGGACTGGAAAGGTGTGGACGGAATCAGAGGTTGGCTACTAGCATGTGAATAAAAAGGCCTAAGCTATGTTGGGAGGACTGTATGTATTTGAGTTTGGCAGCAGGGGAGCACTACTGAAAAGGAGTGATGAAATGAGAGGCTGGAAAAGACAATTAGGACCTCAGGGTACACAGCGGACAATACCAGAGCTGGCATTGGCAAAGTCCGGGCTGTATCCTGTACCCTGGGGTCTCCAAAGGGAAGGAGGAGGTGGATCCCAGGGAGTCCACAATATAATCTGCTGGGATATTGGAAGAAAATACTAGAATTTTGGTTTTTTTTAACTGTATACTTTAAAATTTTCTATTTTGGGGATAGTTTATAATGTAAATAATATACTGCTAGAATACACATATATAAGTTATAAATAGGTATACCGGTGAGGCGCGGTGGCTCACACCTGTAATCTCAATACTTTGGGAGGCCAAGGCGGGTGGATCACCTGAGGTCAGGAGTTCGAGACCAGCCTGGTCAACATGGCGAAACTGTCTCTACTAAAAACACAAAAATCAGCCGGGAGTGGTGGTGGGCGCCTGTAATCCCAGCTGCTCAGGAGGCTGAGGCAGGAGGATCGCTTGAATCTGGGAGGAAGAGGTTGCAGTGAGCCAAGATCGCACCACTGCACTGCAGCCTGGGCAACAGAGTGAGACTTGGTCTCTAAATAAATAAATAAATAATTAGGTATACCTACATCGGGGGGTTTCTTCAAAGAATATTTTTTCCCGAGAGTGTGTGTAATACAAAAAGTATGGAGATCATTACAACAGAACATGAAGATCCATGAGAGGTTTTAAACCATGGATGTGATGTGACTGACCAGAGCTCTCACTTAGAAAGATTAACCTGGCAGGATGCATGGGACAACCTCCAGAGTGGAGCAGGGGGTGGCCACGGGCAGGGAGACTGGCAGGAGGCTGCTGCAGGGGGACAGGTGACATTGGCGGTGCAGGAGTGATACCAACTACAGCAAATATCAGTATGATTTTACAACCAGAATGTGAAAGCGAAAGCACGGACCAATCAGAACACAGCCCAAGCAGAAGCAACTGGAACAGCTGTGCATTGCAGTAACACAGGCGGTACAGGTTAGGGTGAGCGGTGCTGAGACCTGAATTAGGATGGGGGCAGTTGGGGAAGAGGAGGTGCTGGAAAAAGGAACATTTTAGAAGCAGAATCAACAAGACCTGGTGACTGACTGACTGGACATCTTCGGATTAGGGAGAAAAAGGCAGCAGAAGTTTTGTTGTCAGAACACTGAGTGGATGGTGATGTCGCTGAAATGGAGAACGTGAAAGGACAGACAGGTTTGAGGAAGATGGGTGGCGGCAATTGTGATACATTGAGGCAGAGTGACTAAAGGACAGCAGCAGCATCAACTAACATTTTTACAGCCCCTCAGAGATTCAGCCAGATAGTGTGATCTTATTAAATGGATTTTACTAAGGCTCGAAGATGTGAAGTAAGTTGCCCAAGGTCACACAGCCAGTAACCTGCAGAGCTGAGATCTGAAACCACATACCCCTGACTCTTAAAAAGCTTGTTCCCTCCTGGGGAGTCCTCAGCCCGGGCCTGACATAGAGCCAGGCACAGGCCTTTTTCTGACTGGAGTCGACAGCTGGCAGGGTTGCAGGGAGCCCGGGCAGCCACAATCCCTGGGTGTGGGCCTGGCTTCTTCAGGGAGCTTACTGTGGCTCTAGAGGACTCGTTCAGGCAACCCCAAGCACTCACTTTTTCTTGAAGACCAGGAACTTGTTGTTTTGCATGATGCATTCTCGGTTGTTTGAGATCTGCTGAAAGATGGTCTTACTGGTTTTGCCCTGGAAGATGATGTTTTCCTGCACCAGGGCCTTGGCACGGCCCCGCACGGCGATGCCGTAGGCCCGGAACGAGTGGATCCGGTTCTTTATTACCTGGGAGAGGCAGCCAGAGATTGTCACACCTCAGGGATTCACAGACTGAGTGGGAGAGCTGGGCAAGTGAATTATCAGTTCTAAAACCAAGAGGCAGGAACATGCCAGGCAGGTCAGTGAAGAGCCTATGAGCTCAAAGAAGGGCACCAAGAACAGCCTGGGGGAGCCAGGGAAGGCTTCCTGGAAGAGGTGATAGGTGAGTTGTAGGCATTTATCAGATGCACAACAGGGAGAGCTGTTGCAGGAAGGAGAAACAATATGCAAAGGCCTGGCAGAGAGGGGAGGCAGTGTCAGAAGTCAGGGCCACTGGCAACCCAACTGAGACGAAAGTGTGTCCCTCTCTCCCTTCCTCTGCTCCCACAGTGCTCAGAGGCAAAGCCCCAGCATTTTTACTCTTTGCCTAAAGTCACTAACCCACGAAGCTGCAGAACTGTAAAGAGGCTTTAGGCGACCCAGCAATCCCACTACTGGATGTCTACCTAAAGGAAAAAAAGTCATGTGCACACGCATATTGATAGCAGGACAATTTACAATTGCAAAAATATGCAACCAACCTAACTGCCCATCAGCCAAAGAGTGGATAAAGAAATGTGGTATAGGCTGGGTGCAGTGGCTCACACCTGTAATCCCAGCACTTTGGGAGGCTGAGGCAGGTGGATCGATCACCTGAGGTCAGGAGTTTGAGACCAGCCTGACCAACATGGTATCTCTACTAAAAATACAAAATTAGCTGGGCATGGCGGCACATGCCTGTAATCCCAGCTACTTGGGAGGCTGAGGCAGGAGAATGGCTTGAATCTGGGAGGCGGAGGTTGCAGTGAGCTGAGATCATGTCATTGCACTCCAGCCTGGGCAAAAGAGTGAAACTCCATCTCAAAAAAAAAAAAAACAAAAAAAAGGTGGTATATATATACCACAGAATACTACTCAGCCATAAAACAGAATGAAATAACAGCCTTTGCAGCAATTTGGATGGACTTGGAGGCCATTATTCTAAGAGAAGTAACTCAGAAACGGAAAACCAAATATCCTATGTCCTTACTTGCTCACTACTTATAAGTGGGAGCTATGCTAATGACGAAGAAAAGGCATAAGAATGATATAATGGACTTTGGTGACTCAGGGGGAAGGGTGGGAGCAGGGTGAGGGATAAAAGACTATATATTGGGTACAGTGTACACTGCTTGAGTGACAGGGGCACCAAAATCTCAGAATTCACCACTAAAGAACTTATCCATATAACCAAAAACCACCTGTACCCCAAAAACTGTTGAACTAAAAATAAAAATAGAGCCCTTGGGATCGTAATTCCATAAGGGCAGGAACAAGATCTGTTTGGCTCCACAGTGAAACGGAGCTCTGCATAGAAAGGTGCTCAGAGCTCAGTCCGGTGGGGAGACAAATAGGTGAAGGAAGAGATACCAAGCCCTGTGGGGAGTGCTCTGTGAGGACCAAGCCCTGTGGGGAGTGCTCTGTGAGGTATGTGTGGACAAAAGCACTAGACAAGAGATAACTCAAACAGCCTGGGGTGGGAGGTGGGAGCTCAGGGACTCTTCCTGAACAAAGATACAGCTAAGCTGCAGGACTGCAGTGCAAGGCGGGCAGGAGGTATGCAGGGTATATAGGGAAGAGTGTATGCAAAGGCCCCAAGGCAGGATCTCTCTCTTCATGAAGCATCTACTGTACAGCAGGCACTGTGCATGATTATTCTGTTAAGGAAAGAGAGCTGAAATAGTCCTGACCTTGACCCGGAGACCATGAAGATAACTCGGGAGGCTCCCAACACCATGACAAGGAGGGGACACCCCATCCCTGGCTTCCTGCTGGTGAGCCCTTGTTCATCCTTCAGGACTCAGCTTCTCCGTCCCCCCCTGTGGGAAGTCCCACCCACATTTCCCAGGCTGAGTCCTGGCAGGAGGGATACTGTCCCTTGTAGTGCTGAGTGATTACGGTTCTGTTCTCAGCAGAGGCCACGAGGACTATCCCAGGGTTGTGCCCTGTGTGGGCACCACACGTCACACACATGCAGACATACTCACTTTAGTGTCGGACCTGGGCAGCAGCTGCAGCCCGCTGCCCCGGTTGCCAATGATATCGTTTTCAATGACGATGGTGCTGTCGCCCTTGGTGATAATGCCGTGGCCTCTGTTGTCATAGATACCATTGCCCCGGAGCTCCACTTTGCACTGGGCCTCAACCTTGACCCCACTTTGCCGGTTGCAGGAGATGCTGTTGTTGGCCACTCGGGTGGGTTGGCTGCTCTGGGCCACAGTAATGCCTCTGTCCCCATTCGCGTGGATCACATTGGTGATGACATGCAGTGCCTCGCTGCTCTGGACATAGAGTCCTGAGGCTATGGGTGGAAGGGTTGGAAAGCACAGGGGGTCCCAGGGTCAGCCCTGACACCACCAGTCAGGAAAAGCCTTCCCTGAATTGTGCACTCCGGGAGAACGGAGTGGAGAAGAAGAGGTACCAACACTCAGAAACAACCCTTGAGTTTGCGTCTTCCAAGCTGATGAAACAGCAGGAGGAAATCCAGGTGCGTCAACAAAACTCTGGTTCTTCTGCATGAAGTCCTTATTCAGTGTAGCCAGGGAAACACCATGTGAGAAGGCTCCTCTGGCCTGAGCTCCCACCGTGTGCTTGAATGCCTCCTGCACCACCGCCATCCTACTGCCGCTTACACCTCCCTGACGGGGTGCTCACTGCCGCCTCAAGGCTGCTCACTCCCCCTCTGGACAGGCAGATCTACTCATTAGAGGGTTTTGCTTTGCTCTCCTTCCTACACTAACCTGGAATCTGCCTCCCTACTGTTTGGGGAAATTTTCTTTTTTTTTTTTTTGAGACGGAGTCTCGCTCTGTCGCCCAGGTTGGAGTGCGGTGGCGCCATCTCGGCTCACTACAAGCTCCGCCTCCCGGGTTCACACCATTCTTCTGCCTCAGCCTCCTGAGTGGCTGGGACTACAGGCACCCGCCACCACGCCCGGCTAATTTTTTGTATTTTTAGTAGAGACATGGTTTCACCGTGTTAGCCAGGATGGTCTCGATCTCCTGACCTCGTGATCCACCTGCCTCGGCCTCCCAAAGTGCTGGGATTACAGGCGTGAGCCACCATGCCTGGCCGGAAATTTTCTTCTTAATGTAAGTTCTGTAATTTTGGAGTACAAAAACTTACTAAGCGAGTAATATGTGTCAAAAATGTGTTTGAAATTTGGGAAAGGAAAACTGACGCTTGCGGTTGTGTGTACTTAGAGACACTAGGTACATGAGGAGAAAAACCCCAAGTCAGCAGGATTAGAGCTCCATGGCTTGTCAGGAAAAGAAAGCAGGGCAGCCAGACCCGGGGGCGAGGAGAGGAGGGCTCTGCGGTAGGTCCCTCTGCCCACCAACAGCAACAAGGGTTGGGGCAGTGCTGGGGGAGGTTGTGTGCAGGACAATGACTGGGGCCCTGCAGCAGTGTCTGGAGCCATGAGCCTGCAAGCTCAAATCTCTTGGTGGCACCAGCCTGTTGCTTCTCCTGGCTTGGTTGAGAACAACAAAAATAAGTATTTGTGAACGTAGGTGGCTTTGCCTGTCGTACCGGACAGACAGCATGGCCACATGGAGGAACCTCTGACCTGGGAGGAGACAGAACTCATTTTCTGAATAAGTGGGTTGGGGCTGCTGGTTATCCATCTCCCTGTCCTCTACCACTACCAGAAGCAAGTGCTTACCAGGCCCAGGAATCTCTTTTAATTTTATTTTGTTTTAGAGACAGGGTCTTGCTCTATTGCCCAGGCAGTAGTGCAGTGGCACCATCATAGCTCACTGCAACCTCGAACTCTGAGTCCTGAGCTCAAGCATCCTCCTACTTCAGCCTCCCTAGTAGTTGGAACTACAGGCATGTACCACCATGCCCAGCTAATCTGAAAAAAATTTTTTTTTTCTCAGTAGAGATTGAGGTCTCTCTATGTTGCCTAGTCTGGTCTTGAACTCCTAAACTCAAGCGATCCTCCTGCCTTGGCCTCTCAAAGTGTTAGGGTTACAGGTGTGAGCCACTGCGCCTGGCCCAGGAATCTGTTCTGAATAAGCCTTCCTCCATTTCCCGACCCACCCATCCATCCTACCCTCCCACCCCCACCCCACAGTGATTTTGATAATCAGGAGGCTTTGGGAGCCCTGGAGTTAGGTGAACTACACAGTAATTATTTTTTTTTAATTCAAGAAATATCAAACATCTTCTACCATCTTTTTTTTTTTTTTTTTTTTCCTTTTAAGACAGGGTCTTGCTCCTGTCACTCCTGAGCTCTGAGCACCTAGAATACCGTGGTGCAATCACACCTCACTGCAGCCTTGAACTCCTGGGCTCAAGCGATCCCCCCGCCTCCTGAGTAGCTGGGACCACAGGCACATGCCACCAGATCCAACTAATTTTTCTTTCTCTACTCCTTCTTCTTCTTTTTTTTTTTTTTTTTTTTTTGTAGAAACCAAGTCTTGTTATGTTGCCCAGGCGGGTCTTGAACACCTGGCCTCAAGCAATCCCCCAGTCTTGGCCTCCCAAAGTCCTGGGATTACAGGCTTGATCCCTGGCACCTGGCCTCCATTTTTCATCAGGTTTAGGATAACATGGATTTAAAACACTTTTATTTTCTGCCTCTCTAAGAAGGAAAACTCACTGCCAATTAAACCATGATATGCATCTCGTGGGAGATGTTGAATTTTGAGAAATGTATCCTAGAGTTGATTAAAAGCATGTGTGCCAGAGGTGGGATTTGGTACTGCAGGGACAGGGGCACTGAGCTGGGTGGGCTTCAGTTCTTTGTCTCAAGTTCATGGCCTATCAGTGTTGATGAAACAGCCACAGAAATAAATACAGTCGCGAGGCCTCATAACAAGTGCCAGTGGGGATGGGGAGGGCCCAGTTCAAAGGAGGAAGGAATGAAGGGGGATATTCACAACAGGTTTTGAAGTTCAAGTTAGTTTGGGACGTGTGGATGGGAGAAAGGCATGAGTGAGGTCAGCAGGTTAGGAGGCAGGAAAGAATGGATTCAAGTTTAATGAATAAATACAGGAGGATTGGGGATCAGGCTGGAAGAAGTGGCTGATGAGGCCTGAGGGCAAGTTGGGATCAGTCTGCAGAAGGCCCTGCCTGGCGGCCGCACCGTCTCAAAAATAAGAAGCACCTCTGCTCGGCCGCCCCACCGTCTGGGAAGTGAGGAGCACCTCTCCCTGGCCCCCACGCTGTCTGGGAAGTGAGGAGCGCCTCTCCCTGGCCCCCACACTGTCTGGGAAGTGAGGAGCGCCTCTGCCTGGCCGCTGTGCAACCCTCCAAGTGTGAAGTGGCAACCTTGTGTGTGATTTTTCTGCCCTACCCAGGTTTGCATCTTTGACATTAAAGTTTACTTTTAAATTTAAATTAAATTAAAAGTTTTAAATTGGAGAAAAAAAAAGACAGTGGGGAGCCATGGAAGGTTCTTGAGCAGGGGCTGAGGGGGTATACTCACCTCCATTGTGATTAATACTGTTAGACTCAACAAGAGCTATGGTGATGGGCCGGCGCAGTGGGTCGTCCTCCTTCTCCAGCTCTGTCTCCCAGAGGATGGCGTCCCCATCCTCGCTGAAGTTCTCTTGAGCCCTGTGGCCTCGAGGTAACTCGCTGGAGCCATCCTTCTGGCTAAATACTGCCACTCCATACAGGCCATTGTAGCTGACGTGGTTGCTGGTGACATGGGGGAGGCTGGACGACATCATCCACACACCACAGCCCTTGTTAGCTGGGACAGTGAGAGGAGCTGGTCACCGACACTGAACTCAGGTGAAGCGGCACCTGAGTCTCCCTGAGAGGGGAAACAAAAGCCACTGGCCTGGGAGAGAGTCCCTGCCTTGCTAATGACCTCGGACAAGCCACCTGATGGCTCTAGCTGCAGACTTCACCTTCACACAAGAGAGGTCATCAGGATCAGGTGAACCTCACAAGCTCGGCTCGTTCCACACAGTGTGAAAGTGCTCTGAGGACTGTCAGGCCACATGTCCACATCAGAAGCACATGAGCCCACAGTGACAGTGCCAAGGGGGCACCAATCCCTCCCTGCATAGGAGGCAGCCTCAGTTGGAATCCCAGCCCTACCACTTCCCAGCTGTGAGACCCTGAGCAGGTTACCAGACCTCTCTCTGTCCCTCAGTTTTCTCATCTTTTAAATGGGGTTAATAACCGTGCCTCCTTCAGAAGGCAGTCATGAGGATTAAATGTGATCATGCATAGAAAGGGCTGAGTAGAGAGGTGGGCCTGAGTCATCTTTATTATTATCACTGTATTATTAGAGATAGAGTCCAGACAGATGAAGGCTCTGCCCAAAGTCACTGCGTGAGTGAGAAGAGTTTTCTTCCTGTGATTATCTTGTTTTCCCATTATATTTTCCGTTCTCTGGGATCAAAAGAAAGGATAAGAGGAGTTAGATGCACATGAGCCAGGGCTGAAATGGTCCTGTCCTTAAGACATGACACAACTCCTGTCTTTTGCTATTTTAAAAGGGGATAAAGCCTTCTGCTTTGCTAACCCCACGGGGTCAATCTGGACTACAATGTGATTTGTAAGAGGCTCTTTGTTCTGGGAGGGCCTGGGTGACTGTGGCCTGAGAGTGCCTGTTCAGATGAGGTCTTTGAGGCACAGGGAAAGGCAGTGACCTTCTCAGGACCCACAAGCTGGAGATGGAACCTGGGCTTCCTGCCTCCCCGGCTGGGTTGGGAACAAGCTCCTCACCGTAGATGGTATTTCCTTCTATGAGGCCTTTGCCTTCGTCTCCCACAACCACACCATCTGAATAGCCAAAGCAGATGAGGTTACTCCTGAGAACGGGGATCCCTCCACGGCGGATGTCCACACCTCCCCACTGATTCTCACGGATGACATTTTCTATGGAGAGAAGCAGAAAAGAAGGTCAGTACCCAAGGGCCAGCTCCAGTGCTGGCAAATAGGACTTGGACAGTTTTGATCAAGGCTACTCCAGACCAGAAGGCCCTGGCCTTACCCTGCCAGCAATTAGCACTGTAAATCTTGTCTGCTGTCTGATGTTTCAGGGACTTATCTGCTGACTCCTTTCCCCAAGGGCAAGGCTTGTGTCTATCTTGTGCACTCCTATCTCCCCGGCACCTACTATACACCCAATGGCCTTGAGGACTGATGATTAAAAATGAACTAGTTTTGGCCAGGCATGGTGGCTCATGCCTGTAATCCCAGTACTTTAGGAGGCCAAGGCGGGTAGATCACTTGAGCCCAGGAGTTCCAGACCATCCTGGGCAAAATGGGGAAATCCTGTCTCTAAAAAAAAATACAAAAAAAATTAGCCAGGTGTGGTGGTGCGTGCCTGTAGTCCCAGCTTCTTGGGAGGCTGGGTGGGAGGATCACTTGAACCCTGGAGGTCAGGGCTGCAGTGGGCTATAATCGAGCCACTGCACTCTGGCCTGGATGACAGACTGAGACCCTGCCTCAAAAAAAAGAATAAACTAGCTTTGGTGAGTGACACTGGTGTCCAAAAAACCAACCAACCAAACAAAAAGGAAACAAAACAAAGAATAGGCCGGGTGCGGTGGCTCACGCCTGTAACCCCAGCACTTTGGGAGGCTGAGACGGGCGGATCACCTGAGGTCGGGAGTTCGAGACCAGCCTGACCAACATGGAGAAACCCCGTCTCTACTAAAAATACAAAATTGGGCGTGGTGGCACATGCCTGTAATCCCAGCTACTCGGGAGGCTGAGGCAGAAGAATCACTTGAACCTGGGAGGCGGAGGTTGCAGTGAGCCGAGATCGCGCCATTGCACTCCAGCCTGGGCAACAAGAGTGAGTGAAATTCCGTCTCAAAAAAAATAAATAAATAAACTGGCTTTAGAGTCCTCAGAGGCAGAATGTGGCCATTTACCCACAAGCCTGTGAGAAGGCGCTAGCCTCACCTGCAATGGCTCAGGAGTCTCTGTGTGACTGGCCTCTTCCTGTCTCCATGTCCCCACTGCAGGCCCCTTGTGCACCACACTCCAGTCCCACAAGCGATGTCCACTCGGCCATGCCAAGTCTGTTCTCACAGGCGGCCCTACACGGAAGGTTCTTTCCCAGCTCCTCCAGCCACTCCCACTCAGGGTCTGGTTTCCTTGTCACCTTCTCAGAGGGCTGCCCTGACCACACAATCCCAAATGCCTACCCAGTCCCTCTTTTGCCTTAATTATCCATAGAGCACTTGTCACCCTCAGATGGGATGTTTTTTGCTCATATACGTAGGCTTTTATTTATTTATTCGCTTCCTCTCCTAAAATGTCAGTGGCTGACAGCCTCGTTCACTGCTGCACTTGTAGCTCCTGGAACACGGCCTGTATACCACACGTGCTCAATCCATGTCTGATAAGTTCAGTCAGGGGGATTCCCTGGACCAGTATTTGCGGAATCCCTTTCATATCCCAGGCCTGGCTCTGCTCTGTGCTGAGGCTACATTGATGTACCAGATGGACTTGACCCTCACCTTGTGGAATTTACCACTTTATAACAGAGGAGACGGACACCACAAACCACTAAGAAATTAAGTCAAAGGCCCTAGAGAGGAGGCATCCTGGGTATAGTGAGTGTATCTGTGTACAATGGGGAAGTCAGGGAAGGCTTCCCTGAGGAAGTGACAGTTAAGCTAAGACCCAAAGGATAAGCAGGGGTTAGCCGGGCGGAGGTTTCCAGAGCAGGCAGAGGTCCGCACAAAGACCAAGAGGAGGGATTTGGACAGGTGGTTGGGCATCAGTGCTTCTGAAACTGTTCTGTGAGCCACCTTGTGAGGGCCTGTCGGCTCTGGGCCTGGAAGGAGCAGACACCCACTCTGTGTTAGGCCCTCCTGTAAGAAGCACAGCCACCATGCAGCTGGCGTCCCTGAGCTCCAGCCCACCAGTCAGAGAAAGAGGCCATAGTCTGTGGGGGTAAAGGAGCAGTGTGAGGTCCTGAAGCTGGGGGGTGACGCCAGGGGACCTTGGCCTGGCTGCCAGGTGCCAGGCAGTTCCCATCCGTACCTGTGATGAGGCCTTTGCCGTTCTCATTCACTGCTATGCCGGCAGCACGGCCCTTGAAGATGTGGTTCCCGCTAAAGTGGAAGGAAAACAAAACAAAGAGGTGAGCCCAGGGCATCAATGTCATGCTTCCAGGAGACTGCCTTCTTTCATGGAAACCCTGTCTCTACAAAAAATACAAAAAAATTAGCCGGGTGTGGTGGTGTGCACCTGTAGTCCCAGCTTCTTGGGAGGCTGGGGTGGAGGATCACTTGAGCCTCCCTATGGCTCAAGTCCACAGGGGCATAAAAGCATTTCCTAAAGTCCCTTTATAAGCCAGGCATATAGAAATGTTTAGTTGTCACTGGGACAGCTTGACCAAAAACTAAACCCCCAACTATGCTATACACGCACAATGATATCCAGTTCACTGTAGCCTCACTTGACTGTCATCTACATATATACCCATGCATATATATATACATTTTTTTTTTTGAGGTCTTGCTCTGTTGCCCATGCTGGAGTGCAGTGGCACAATCTCAGCTCACTGCAACCTCCACCTCCTGGGTTCAAGCGATGTTCGTGCCTCAGCCTGGATTACACGTGTGCGCCACCACATCCAGCTAATTTTTTGTACTTTTTGTAGAGATGGGGTTTTGCTACGTTGCCCAGGCTGGTCTCGAACTCCTGGCCTCAAGTGACCCATCCGCCTCAGCCTCCTAAAGTGCTGGGATTACAGGCATGAGCCACCGCGCCTGGCCTTATATGTATTTTATCCAACCCTCAAATGTTTGAACCAGAAAATGTTTACAATTTTTTTGTTTAAGACATGGGTTCTCGCTATGTTGCTCAGGCTAGCCTCAACCTCTTGCACTCAAGTGATCCTCCCACCTCAGCCTCCCAAGTAGCTGGGACTACCAGCATGAGTAACTGAGCCCTGGCATATTTTTACTACAAATCTCACCTCCAGAAAGGATCCGTGGCCACCTGGAGAAGTGTGTGTATGTGTGTACATGGGGCAAGCAGAATAAAGATACAGGAGGGATGAGAAAACACTTAGAAGAAGGGGACAGATCAGTGTACCAAGAGCCCAGGATGGGATATTAACTGCAGATGAGCACAATTTGAGTCCTGTGCTTCTCTGCATCCAAGGAAAAAAGAGAAACATATATAACATATAAAAAGACAAAAAATATAACTTTCTGTGGCAAAAATAGATCCTATGGTTTGTCTCATCCAGGCCATTACAGGGATCTTAAACTTCATTCCGTATCCTGCTCCAGACTCTTATCTCTCATTGCAAAGAAACAAAGGAAAAAAGCACAACCTATTCTCTCAAGATGACTATGTTTTAAAAACCCAACACTGATCTAATTATGATATTCCTCACCCAAAACTCTTTCATGGTTCCCCAGCATCCCCAAGGTAAAGCCCAGACTTTTCAGCTTGGTGTATTAGTTTCCTATTGTTACTATAACAAATTACCACAAACTTGGTGGCTTAAAACAATACAAATTTCTATCTTTCAGTTCAGGAGGCCAGGAGTTCAAAATGGGTTTCACAGGGCTAAAATCAAAGTGTCAGCAGACCTGTGTTCTATCTGGAGGCTCCGGGGAGAATCCACTCCTCATCCTTTCCAGCTCCTAGAGGCCGCCTGCACTTCTTGGGCTGTGGCCTCATCACTCTGACTTCTGCTTCTGTCCTCACATCTCCTGCTCTCTTATTTATTTATTTTTTAAAATATTTTATTTATTTATTTATTTATTTATTTATTTATTTATTTATTTATTGAAATGGAGTCTCGCTCTTGTCACCCAGGCTGGAGTGCAGTGGCACGATCTCGGCTCACTGCAACCTTCGCCTCCCGGGTTCAAGCGATTCTCCTGCCTCAGCCTCCCAAGTAGCTGGGATTACAGGCACCTGCCACCATACCTGGCTATTTTTTATATTTTTAGTAGAGATGGGGTTTCACCGTGTTGGCCAGGCTGATCTCGAACTCCTGACCTCAAGTGATCTGCCCGCCTCGGCCTCCCAAAGTGTTGGGATTACAGGCATGAGGCACCGCCCCGGCCCCTGCTCTCTTAATCTAATTCCCCTGCTTCCTTCTCATAAGGGCCTGTGGTTACACTGGGCCCACCTGTATCATCCAAAATAACCTCCTTTCATCTTTCTCCAAAGTCCTTCACTCAATCAAATCTGCAAAGTTCCTCTTGCCTTGTAAGGCAACATATGCACAGGGTTCAGGGACTAAGACATGGACATCCTTGGGGCCATTATTCTGCCTATCATGCTTGGCATTCAAGGTCCTCTGCCGTCCAGCAACAACCTGCCTTTGCACTATCCCTCTGGTATCTCGTGTCCAAACACACCACATTTCTCACCATTTTCTCAGACATACCCTGAATTTCACTGCCTCTGGCCCAGAATGCCTTTTCCCTGGCCATAAAATCCTATTTATCTTTCAAGCACAACTCAAATGTCAGCTCCCTGACATGCTCAGCTGAGATCACGGCTGAGTTCCTTGGTCAGTCTGCATGAATGCCTAGTAAAGTGCTCATTTTGGTGAGTCTTCCATCATGGCTGTGTGAGTGTGTGTCCATCTCCAGCATAAGACTGTCAACTCCATGGGGCAGGCAGGGACTGTTCTTGTACATGTTGTATATCACTGCCCCCTTATATAGAGTGGCTGGAATGTGTGTTCAATGAACAGCACACACACATACAAATACACACTCTTCTGTTCAGGCAATAATGCAGAAGAAGGGAAAGAGCTCTATGACCACTAATTGTTTTTAGTAAGCTGTCTGTAACAGTGAAAAATAGGATTATATTCCGTAATTTTTGAACCAGCAATTAGGTCTGGTTCAAAAATTATGGCATATCGAAATACTGGAATATGGTGAAACTTTCCAAAGTGATGAATGTAAAGGCCATGCATGCAACAACATGGAGACAAAGTACCTATGGAATAATGCTGGGGGAAAGCGCTCTGAATATACTTGCTGCCCATTAATGCCAGCTATTCTCCTAAAGCACAGACATAACTGTGTGAGTCTTCTGCTCAGAGCCTTTAATGAGTCCCCGCTGTGTAGACAGAATAGGCTCCCCCGCCTCAGCTTGGTCTACATAAGGCCTTCCTCATCTGGCCCAAGCCTTTCTTTCCATCATTCCTTTCCACTCTGCTGTGTGGCACAGATGGTCTGCCGCAAGGACGTCAAGGGTCACACTGCAGTGACCACAGGGCCCAAGATATTCTGGGACCATCCCAATTTAAAATATTCTATAGCACTGTCACACCATGTCAGATTTTTTCTCAAGCCACCGTCAACGGTTTGCTAACCCCTGAATCTGCTGTGCCCTGCTGCCTTTGCTCATGCTGTTCCATTACTAGGAACATCCACCGACCCCTCCCTACCCCTATCTCCATGAGTCCAAGTCTTACCCATATTCCAAAGTCTGACTCTGATGCTACCTCCTAAATGAGGCCTTCCCACATCCTCCTAGTCAGAATGAGTCTCTCCTTCTGGTACCACTCTGACAGCATTTATCACAGTCTGCCCCATACTAGAGCTGGGATGGCAGACAGGGTCCCAGGACTGCCACTGCTGCCTCCCACCTATCACTTATATCAGTCCCTGACCACAGCATGCTTTTGTGCTGAGGCCAGGTGCAGCACCAGGATGTTGACACAGCACCCCCAGGCACCACTAGCAAGTAACTGAAACTGTTAGGTGAGCTGAAATCTCTGTTCCATCCCTGCCTGGGGGTACTTCTGTGCCCATTTCTCCAGGCTAGAGTAAGCTCCCAGGGAGCAGAGCCTGCCCATGTTGGAAGTGCTCAGTAGTGACTGCCGAATAGAACGCCTACACGGAGTTCACTGGAAGGGCACATAAACACAAAAGCCGCTGTGTTACTGGGGTGGGATGATGAGTGAAGTCTCTTCTCTGCTTGCATCTGTACAGTTGTTTCCGTAAAGAGTGTTTTCAAATGGAGGAGAGACAGGGAGGAGGTTAACAAAGATGAAGGAGGGAAACAGCAGCACACACCTCACAACGGGGTTTCCGTGGTACAGGATGTAAATGCCAGCCTCCTTATTGGAAAAGATTTGATTGTTCCGGATGATGCCTTTCCCATTGCCAAGGACGACAATGCCAGAGCGAAGGCCATGGTGGATCTGGTTACACTGCAAGTGAAAATGAGACACCACAGAAGCCAGATCAGACACGTCAGCGAAGCAGAGTGCCCAGGTGCCGCCCACACCTCCGCGGCAGGATGAACACAGTGGAGAAAATGACGTCACTGTAAGAGCCCTAGCCCGTGACAAAGGGAATGGGTCACACTGCCGCCCTGCCCTTCCTGCACCAGTACACACATGAAAACCTGTAAGGGAGACTATGAAGACTGGAGTCTTCGCTGCCCAGCCTCTTAGGAGGGCTCTTGGTCTTCACCTGCAAGGCAGGCTACTGAAAGTTTCAGAGCCTCTAATGAGTCCCCTAAACACATAATCATTTGGCCAGGCCATAACTTCTAGGGTCCAGGGAGGCCATCTCTTGAGGAAAGGCAGCACCCCAGTGCAACCAAATGTTGGCCAACTGCAGTCCTAAAGGGGCCACATCCAGAGAGGGGTCACAGTTGTTTGACTTCTAGTCCTTTCTCATTTAGGGAGGGCCAGCGGAAGATGCAGACACTGGGGGGCCAAGCTGTCCCATGGGGCATAAGGTCTTAGAAGGTGTATGAGCTACAGAATGCCAAGAGATATCTTTTTTTTTTTTTTTTGGTAGAGACAGGGTTTTGCTTCATTGCCCAGGCTGGTCTTGAACTCCTGGCCTCCAGTGATCCTCCCATCTTGGCCTCCCAAAGTGCTGGGATTACAGGTGTGAGCCACCACACCCGGCAAGATATTCATTTCTAATATCTCTTTGTGCGAATGGGAAAACAGGCCCACGATTATATAGTACATTTGTGGAAAAGCCAGATCTGAAATCTAGTTTTTCTCTTTCCCATTCCAGTTAGTTGCTTTTGCACAGTGACTTAATATTTTTAGATTAGAATAATAATAAAATTATCTCACTCTAAGTTAATTTATAGCTGAAGTCCAATTCTATACTTTGTAAATTGGGAAGTTAGCTGTATCTCTTCCAAAATGATTTCGCAGAAATAAAGTTCTAGTTGGCTTTAAAGTGTTTCGTGTGCAAACTCTCCTTATTCTTACTCTTTCCAGATTTTTCCTGAAGGATTTGGCAGGCTCATCAGAGCAACCACTGCCTAAGAGAAGTCCCGCACAGGGCTGAAGAGCTCCAAAAGGAGTATGCAGCAGCATTTCCATCCCTACACCCTTTCACAACGCCAGGACTAAAATATACCACTCCCTTCCCCCTCCACCTGCTATCCCTCTGTCCTCAGAAGGGCAAACCCCTCATCTCTCTAGCCAGAGGGGCAATAATTTCCTAAGCCAAAGCCATGCATCAACCACCAGCTGCATGGTAGAAACACAGTGAGGGGAAGGGGTTGGCAGGAGACACTGGCTAGCTGTGTGTATTTTCTTTTTCTTTTTTTGAGACAGGGTCTCGCTCTGTTGCCCAGGCTGGAGTGCAGTGGCACAATCATGGCTCATGACCATGCCATAGTTATGGCAGCCATGACCTCCCAGACTCAAGTGATCCTCCCACCTCCCACCTCCGCCTCCCAAGTATCTGGGACGACAGGTGTGAGCTACCATGCCCAGCTAATTTTTATAATTTTTTGTAGAGACAGGGTCTTGCTATGTTGCCCAGGCTGGTCTTAAACTCCTGGACTCAAGTGATCTTCCTGCCTTGGCCTCCCAAAGTGCTGAGATTACAGGCATAAGCCACTGTGCCCAGCCTTCTCTCTGTATCTTTATGGGCAGTTAAGATATGATGGGTTCAGCATTACCCGTGAGTCAGACTGCCTGGATTCAAATCCCAGCTCTGTCACTAGGTGTAGGACTTTGGGCAGGATCCTCTGCCTCTTCAGGCTCTATATCTTTACTATAAAATAGGGATGATAATAATTCTTCACAGGGTTCTGTAAGCATTAAATGACAAGTAAATATCTATGAAGTGCTTAAAAAAGCATCTGGCGTATAATAAGCATTATGTATTAATGGTGGCTATTATTTTTTCAAGCCCATAAAAAGTCTGTTATATTTCCCAACTCCTAGGAAATCTGTCTCTCAGTATACATGTAACAAAATTCCTCCCATACCCCATAAATCTGTGTAAAAACAAAATAAAAAACCCCCAAACCCCAAACCTGCTTCTCAGGAAGAGCCAGAGCAGAAAAGGAGCTGGTCTCTCGTGTCACTGGCCACACAGTCTAGGATTTTAAGTGGTTTTCACACGGGTAGAAAATCAAACTCAATATGCCCTCACAATAACCACGAAACAATCTTCAGAACTAAATACCCGAAATGTCCTCTTACACAAGTGAATAAACTAACTTGGTGGGTTCGCTGCTGTTGTTTTTGTTTGTTGTTGGATCCAAGTGTCTTTAGGGCAGACATCACTCTCTTTAACCTTATCAAACTCAAAGCCAACCACAGCATATGAGGGCTGAGGGCCCTGTGAGGTTTCCCTGTCTTTCTGGTCCTCCTCCTTATTAACGGGGAGATGACCAGAAAATGACTTGTCCAAAGTCACTGCTAATACACAGACAGAGACACAGAGTCACAAGGACACGCAGAGGACAGAGCAGGAGCCACCTGCAAACAGGAAGCACGTAAATACAAGAGGGCAACGTGTATTTAAATATCCTCACAAATGGTTTCTGAAAACCAAGAGTCACCCTGAATAGGGAACGAACACAAAGTACCAGTATGAGTGGGTTGGACTTTTTCCGGATGTCTACACCAGCCTCTGCATTGTGGTAAATGTTGTTGCCGGCAATCAAGCCACCGCCCTCCAAGCGAAGAAAGATGCCTGACGCTCGGCAGCGGTAAATGTCGTTCCTGAGCATGATGATCTAAGCAGAAAAGAGAAAGCCATTTATTTTCCTGTTACAAATATTTTTTTAGAAACCACTGGAGGAACACCTGAGTCTTTTCCGCACCACCTGATCCATGCAGTTTACCCCGTAGGCAAGAGAAACGCCTCAATGCTGGCACAGCCACGCTCCCACTGTGTGCTCCCAGGACACAGCCATCTCCAGGCCCTACCTGGCTTTGCCCTGCAGGCTCCTTAGCGGTCTCACATTGGTTCTTTTTTTTTTTTTTTTTTTTTTTTGAGACAGGGTCTTGCTCTGTTGCCCAGGCTGGAGTGCAGTGGCATGATCTCGGCTTACTGCAAGCTCCGCCTCCCAGGCTCACGTGATCCTCCCACCTCAGCCTCCCAAATAGCTGGGGCTACAGGCTAATTTTTGAATTTTTGTTTATTTTTATTTTTACTATGGATGTGGGCTGGAGTAATTTTGTTGTTAACTTTTCTATTTTTTGTAGAGATGGAATCTCACTATGTTGCCCAGGCTGGTCTGGAACTCTTGGGCTCAAGCAATCCTCCCACCTTGGCCTCCCAAACTGCTGGCATTACAGGCATGAACCACTACACCTGGCCCACACTGGTCCTTTAACTAAAACCTGGACCAAAGCTTGGCCCTGTGCTCTATATTCAGAACCTGCAAGCAGCATAGCTGGATGATGGGATAGAAAGGACGCTTAGGGGAAGATGGGACTGAGTGGTCTTCAAACTTTACATGCACTAAGTTTGCATGAAGATTTCCCCAGGGGTCGAGGGTGCAGCTACTTTTAATGAAATAAAGTTCCAGGTCCACCACTTCCAATGCACCTTCACTAAAATCCACCTGTCTGAGACGGCACGGACAGTAAGGTACCACACAGGTTCTCCTCTCCCACCTTCCCTTCCACTTTATAAAACAAAGGCCTGTTCTTGCACATCCTAAATCTTTCATGGTGTATCACCCTGGGGTGGAAAACTACTGAGACTCCAAATGAAGGGATGATTAGAGATATTGGTATAACAAAGCCTCCTTCAAACAAGTTCCCATAACCAGCAACCTGCTAATAAAGGGATATATTTCCAATTACATTTTCTTTTTATGTTTAATAAGTACAGTTGTCTCCCCCATGTCTGTGGGTTCTGCATCCATGGATTCAACCAACTGTGGATTGAATATACATTATTAAAAATAATAAATAATAAAATTGAAAAACAGGCCAGGTGTGGTGGCTCACGTCTGTAATCTCAGCACTTTGGGAGGCCGAGGTGGGCGGATCACTTGAGGTCAGGAGTTTGAGACCAGCCTGGCCAACACGGTGAAGCCTCGTTTCTACTAAAAATACAAAAACTAGCCAGGCATGGTGGCAGATGCCTGTAGTCCCAGCTACTCAGGAGGCTAAGGCAGGAGAATCTCTTGAATCAGGGAGGCAGAGGTTGCAGTGAGCCGAGATTGTGCCACTGTATTCCAGCCTGGGCGACAGAGTGAGACCTTATCTCAAAAATAAAATAAAATTGAATTAAAAAAAACAACAACAGTATAGGCTGGACGTGTTGGCTCATGCCTGTAATCCCAGCACTTTGGGAGGCTGAGGCGGGCGGATCACCTGAGGTCAGGAGTTTGAGACCAGCCTGGCCAACATGGTGAAACCCCATCTCTACTAAAAATACAACAAATTAGCTGGGCGTGGTGGCTCATGCCTGTAGTTTCAGCTACTTGGGAGGCTGGGGCAGGAGAATCGCTTGAACCCAGGAGGCAGAGGTTGCAGTGAGCTGAGATCACATCTTTGCACTCCAGCCTGGGCTAAACAGTGGAGACTCCGTCTCAAAAAAAAAAAAACAAAAAAAACACAACCAACAAACAAAAAAACCCAGTAGAAGAGCTATTTACATAGCATTTGCATCGTATTGGGTATTATAAGTAATCTAGAGATGACTGAAGTGTGGGAGGATGTGTGCAGGTTAGGTGCAAATACTATAACATTTTATATAAGGGATTTGAGCATCTGTGGATTTTAGTATCCTGGAACCAAGCCCCCACGGATACCAAAGCATGATAATATATAAAAAATCTGGAATGTTTATCTATGCTGTCTTAAACAATTATAGATTAATAATAAAATATATTATTATAAATTGTGTACTACTAATAATATATTGCATTAGGACAAAATTCTGTGAAGACTAAAGTAGAACAAGAGTATAAATGGTAAGGTTTCAGCTTCTGCTTAGGATGGAGAAAGTAGAAAGAATATACACAAACATGGACTTTCTGGTGGAACCCATCAGAGCTGAGGCTGCTGGACAACCGGCTAGCCTGAATGCTACAAAAAGACAGGTGCCTTTCGGAGCGTGCAGTGAGCCCAGATCGTGCCACTGCAGTCCGGCCTGGGTGAAAGAGTGAGACTCCGTCTCAAAAAAAGAAAGACAGGCGCCTCCAAGGAGACGAGGCCTGAGCACTTCCCTGCTGAATGCAGGGCTGCATGTGTCATACAAGCCAGTAAGAACTCAGCTAACATTTTCAATGCACTGTTAAAGACCAGCTGTGAATTAGTGTGAGTGCAGAAACTCTGGGAGTAGCTGCACCTGTTCACTTCTCTGTGGCCTTCACTAGGTGTTCATGGAGAAAACTGGGGGCAGATGAGAGACTGGAGACAGCACCCTCCTGACGCAGGCTGGGGACAAAAGTGAGAGAGGCATTAAGCCCCTCTCCTGTGTTCTTTCCCCCTAACTCTCTTACAAAACAAACCGTATGCACAGAGAAACAGCGGGAAAACACTCTTATCTCTGGGGGTGTTGGGAGGAAAGTGACTTAGGCCCAGATCATCAGAGGTCCCCTAGTGCTGGGGGTAGAGCCAGGGTCACTGAAAAAGTCCTGCTCTCAAGACCACAGACACAGCACCTACCTAGACTAAGGATGACCCAGGACAAGAGAGAAACCCTGCCATCACGTAGGGTGACAAATAATGGCAGTCTACTGCTGAGGGAGGGCGAGAGCAGCGGAGATCGCCTCTGAGCAGCAGGCACAAAGGAAGATCTGAAGCGGAGAAAACTAGCACGAGGTAATGCTGGAGAGAGCTGAAGCCTACGGGACGCTGAGGATAATCCTATCATCACCATAATTCAAACGGGCTCAGCTCCTAACTAGATCGACCTCCTAAGAGCCAGGCAAAAGAAGAGGTGTGCCCATTTCCAAACTAAATACTACAGAGCTCAGTCCCCACTGTCCTACATGAGATATCTGACTTCCAACTAAAATTTATGACACATAAAGAAGAAAATCACAGTCGGTGACACTTCTTTTTTTTTATTTTTTTTTTGGAGACGGAGTCTTGCTCTGTCACCCAGGCTGGAATGCAGTGGCGCAATCTTGGCTTTCACTTGCAACCTCCACCTCCCGGGTTCAAGCAATTCTCCTGCCTCAGCCTCCCGAGTAGCTGGGACTACAAGTGCCCGCTGCCATGCCTGGCTATTTTTTTTTTATTTTATTTTAGTAGAGACGGGGTTTCACCGTGTTGCCCAGGCTGGTCTCGAACTCCTGAGCTCAGGCAATCTGCCCGCCTCAGCCTCCCAAAGTGCTAGGATTACAGGCTTGAGCCACAGCACCCGGCTGACACTTTTCTTCTTGGAGCCTCAAGCAACCAGGCTCCTCCTGCCAGCCTTTACCCTCCTGGGATGTTCTAGAGGACAGAGCCAGGTGACAGCCTTCTGTGGGGGAGCAAGGATCAAGGCCTTGCTTGAAAGGGTGAAAGGGTGTGTCTCCCCTTACTTCTGGGCCTTCACACACACCTCCTTTGCCTCGCGTCTTCACCCTGCCGACTTAAGGGGCAGAGCCAGACTTTAACTAGAAAGCCATATTCTCAATAACTATGCAAGGAAGAATGCCCTCCTTGAGGGCTTGAGCCAGATCCTTTCATCGTGGTAGTCACGACAGCAAAGCTATTACCTTTCCCTTTTTATTTGGCCATTTTCTTTTATGTATGTGTACAGGAGTCTTGCATTATGCTTTCAAAGTAACATCACCTGAAATCCTCTTTGGAAGTGGGCTGGGTAAAACACAATTAAATTTAAATTAATTAAAATGTGATTGCTATTAACCATTTTAGAAGCCTGCAACACTCATGAGTGACCTTTGTACAATGTTCTTTAGTTTACTGAATACTTCCGGCATGGGACCTTCCAATAGCCAGTGAGAGAAGAAAAATAGGGATGCTTATTTTCATTTTACGAAAGTGAAGGTCATGTTCATAGTGAGTTAGTGGAGAGGTGAGACTCGAATCTAGGTGCTATGCCATGCTTTCTTCTGCATGGGCTGTCTTTCCCTTCAGAAGGCCTTCCTGTCATCAACCATTTACAGGATTTGCAGATTGTCCTGTGGTGCCCTAAGTCCCAGCACATAGAAGGTGTTGATTGTCGCAGTGGCTAGAAGGACTGTTCTTAGCATAAGGCCCAAATGTCTCAAGGGGGATTCCAGGTCTGGGTAAGGTAGCTTTTGCTCACCCCCAGCTTCATCCTTCAACCTAGCCCCACCGCATGGTTGAATTCAACCTCACACCCAGGCTCTGGCGTAGGATGTTTCTGCTGTTGGGACACCCTCACTCTCCACCCCTTCTTATCACGTGTCCAATTTTCCCTGGACCTTCTTCTCATTGTACCCAGCACAGACGTTTCCTCAACAACCCTACTCCAGTTTGGAGTGAAGGTAGTAATCATATCTCCCTGAATTTTCTCTTATCCAGGCTTTGTTTCTCCTACTCCGACATGGTGAGATATGTGAGCAGCAGCATGACATAGTGAAAAGAGGCAGGAGACCCGAGTTTCTAGTCTCAATTCTGCCTAACTTGCTATGTGACCCTGAGTAAGCCACGTTCTCTCTCTGGGCCTCTCTTTCTGGGAAATGAGAAAAAGCGTTTCTGTCCTTTCCAAATCAGATGATGGGCATGACGTCAAGCGTGCGTGAATAAGTTTAAAGAAAATTATTTTTAAAATGCAAAATAGCCCCATCAAACCCTTCCTACATATAGCCACAGGAGCCCCCTGACCAATCTAAAGTCATGACAGCACCTTGCTATTATGTATACACCGCACTGCGTAAGTCAGGTTCCGGAAGATGTTTCCTTCCATCTTGGCTCTGCCGTGGGAGCAGACGAAGACGCCTCCCTTCCCGTCCCGGAAGAGGCACTTGCGGATGAGGCAGCCCTGCACGGAGTTGGCCAGTGCCATGGCCTCCTTATCCTTCTGCAGCTCCTGCTGCAGTGAGTTCAGCACTAGGCAGCTGGGCAGCTGAATGGATGCTCCTGGTAGAGGTGGGCCCAGAAATGAGCCCCCCAATACAGGGCGTGGGCCCTGCACTTGGTAGGATAGTCTGTACATCAGCTGGTCCTCATCTTCATCCTCACCGCTGGGACTCAGGCCTCCATCGCTGCTGTCCGGGGTCTGGGCCACCCTTTCACCATCACTACCCACCTCTGCCTCCTGTGAGCCAGCCTTGGAGCCTGGCTTTGGGGAGCTAGAGGCTGGGCTGGTAGGGCTCTGGCTGCCCTCGATAACAATGTCACAGGTCTTTGGGCTCCAGGCCTGGTCCCGGCTCTCTAGGTCCAGGGACATTAAAAAGTCAGAGTCCTCTGTGGGGAGAAAAGTGGGTGAGGACTTGATAAGCCCTAGTAGATACTTGTAGGCCCAGTTCTTATCTGCAGATGGGTGACCCTCAACAGTCACAGAGTTGTTTTCACTGCCCACAAATTCACAGTTTTCCAGGACACACAGGGGCACGTTGTGCAGGAAGATATGGGTGTTTTTGAAGGTACAGAACTTCACTTGGCAAGTACCCGGGCCATGGACCTGGATGTGCCCGTTCTCAAAGTTGCAGTTGTCAAACTGGACGTGACCTGATGTTGTCTGGGGAATGAAAAGAAGAAAACGGCTGTAAGAGGGATGAGATTGGTTTTGGACTCTAGCTGCCCTTTAAGGAGGGTAGAACATGGAAAGGCCATTTGTTCTGCTGATCATCTTCCCCTCCCCACTGGGGTCTGGATGTCAGCTGTCCCCAAAAGGAACTGGGGAGCTGCTCTGCATCAGAGAGGGAGGGAAACTGGAGCTGCCCGCACCTCCATCCTTCTAATCTCAAAGGAAGGGAGACAAGTAGATGATGGCAGAAAAGTTCACACTGCAGCATGACTCCTCCTAAAACCTCAAGTCTCAATCACGTGCCAGGGCTAGGACAGGCAGTGAGAGAGGCCTAGCCGCATGTGCTGGCAAAGAGTTCTGACTGTGTGGCAACTGATGCACGTGGTGCACAGCAAAATATGTCTCTAAAGAGAGGGGACAAGGTATACTGCCATTGCCAGGAAGCATTGAACAGTGGTTAAAAGCATGGGCTCTGCCAGGTGTGGTGGCTCACGCCCGTAGTTCCAGCACGTTGGAAGGCCAAGATGGGCAGATCACTTGAGGTCAGGAGTTCGAGACCAGCCTTGTCAACATGGTGAAACCTCATCTCCACTAAAAATACAAAAATTAGCTGGGCGTGGTGGTGTGCGCCTGTAGTCCCAGCTACTTGGGAGGCTGAGGAATGAGAATAGCTTGAGCCTGGGAGGCAGAGGTTGCAGTGAGCCGAGATTGCGCCAGTACACTCCAGCCTGGGCGAAAGAGCAAGACTCGGTGTCCAAAAAAAAAAAAAAAAAGCATGGGCTCCGGGGGTTGACTGCAAGTGTTATCTTGGACAAATGACTTCACCTCTTTAAGCCTCAGTTTCCTTGTCTGCAGCATGGGGCTCACTAGTTCACAAAGCACCATGCTAGGCACAAACTTAGCACTCAATAAAAGTCAGTTATTATCATCTGGGGTCAGGGACACAAGGAGCAGAGTGTCCTCAAGAGTCTGGAGTGGGGATGGGGCAGTGCCAAACTCTCCTGCCTAATTCATTTGGGCCCCTTGGCTCTGTGGGCCCAACTGAGAAGCAGTCTTGGTGAGGCCCACTCACTCTCTATTCCTGAAAAAGAGCTGTTTCTGGATTTTATACATATTTCATCAGATGTATTTGAATCATCAAATGAGGGAGTATCTCATGATTCCATTTAATAATCCAGACGTACCTACCCCTTGAATAAGTTTTAAAATTGACCTTTGATAGATTGTCCCAGAATTTAAGCCCCCTTAACTTTTCTAATTTCTTCCTTATGGCTAACCTAATTTTTCCTTGCTATTTAAATCCATTTTCTCTCTAAAGATAAAAAAGCCAGCTCTCTGGAGATGCAGAGCCACTGCTAAGGTTCTCCTTAGAAGTCACTGAAAACTGCTGTGAAATCGCCTTGGCCTTTGCATTTTTCAGGCAAAGCCATCCCAGGCCCCCATGTCTCCTTTAGTTGAAAAACAATCATGGACTGAACACTAACTAATATATGTTATATGCTAAGCACTAAGCCACAGGGCAGGCTACAAACAAGTCTAACGCCAGGCCTCATCCCTTGAGGATCTATGACTATACTTCTGAGGGAGAAGTAGAGGCTGAAATCAAAATATTACTCTAAGAATAAATGTATTACAAAATGTGAAGGGTCTGGAACATTATTTCTTTCTAGAAACAAACTCTCCTTCTGGGCCTGCAGACCAGCACCAGAGAAGTTCATCAGTTCTTCTGAAATGCTCTAGGGCTAAAACACAAGCTTTTAAGCTTTCAGGTAACATAGCATGATGTAATTTTATAAGCATTTAGATGAGAAGGCCTGAATTTGAGATCTAACTTCCCTAATTACCCACTTGAGAAAGTTACTTACCAACTGTGACCTTCAGTAGCCCTCATTTGCAAAATAGGCATACCACATCTACTTCACCTACACAAATGTTTGCTGTGGGGGTCCAATGAGGTCACAGATGGAAAGTCACCTAGATTATGAATAGACTTTGGATCTTACTAAGTCTGAGACCTTGATGTCACTTAATCTTGCTGAGCCTCAGTTTTCTCATCTATAAAATCAGATGACATTACCTATCTCAGAGGCATGTGGAGAGGAACCCATGAGATAATGGCTATAAGGCATATGGCATGCACACACTACATCTGTCACAAATGACCAGTGGTATAAGGATCATTACAAACATGAGAGACAATTGTTATTGGCAATATACTTTTAAAAATCATATATATATGATTTTTTTTTTTTGAGACAAAGTCTCACTCTTGTCCTCCAGGCTGGAGTGCGATGGCACCATCTCAGCTCACTGCAACCTCCGCCTCCCGGGTTCAAGCGATTCTTTTGCCTCAGCCTCCCGAGTAGCTGGGATTACAGGCACCTGCCACCATGCCCCGCTGATTTTGTATTTTTAGTAGAGACAGGTTTCACCATGTTGGTCTCGAACTCCTGACCTCAGGTGATCCACCTGCCTCGGCCTCCCAAAGTGCTGGGATTACAGGTGTGAGCCACTGCACCTGGCCAAAAATCTTTTATTTTTTATGAGCAGGCAGGAAAGCGATATAATTTTTATTGACTACCTACATAATCCAAGTTTCTAGGCAATGTATAAGCTATAGACTGTTCTGCCAGGAACTACCAACACCTGGATACCTGCTTTACTTTGAACCATCTTCTGGCTCTGCATTCACGGAAGGAATATGTTGGACAAATATTTTCTAACCTTCTCACCATTGCCCTTGAGAACTAGCAAATCATGGTAAAAGCCTGCCCTTCCTTGATCCCACACAGGGTGGGGTTCATGTGCTGAAGGTGACTAGTCCTGTATAGCCTTTTTCCTCTGTGGCTCTCACTCTGGGCATGCCTCCATGAGCAGCTAATGGGCTCTCTGCTTCCTGTCACCAAGTGGCATGCTTCCAGAACCTGGCTTTCCCGCCGCTGCTAGACTGGTGGCTCCAGTTGGTCCAGTTGGAAAGGGAAGAGGTGCAAAAGAATTTTGGTTCCAAGCCCAAGCCATTTTTAAATACTGCTTTACCAAGAATAAAGCAGAATTCTGAACTCTACTGATCACTGTGCCTGTTTCTCAACTGGTTCAGCACTCAGAGGAGTATGAGTATAATAATAACTCTTAACTTTCAATTCCAACAAAAAAAGGGATTAAAAGCCCAGAAAAGAGGGCAAGCCTCTGGGGTCAGAACTAGAAAGGCCGTCTATTGATGTGGATACCCACCTTATACATGATGGGTGAGAACCAGGCTGGCGTGAAGACGAGGTTGCACAGGCGTGTGGTTGAGCAGTGCTGATCAATGCTGGCCAGCAGGGCCACTTCACCCAACTTCCCCTGCCCTACAATCTCCACAGGCACCTTCAAGATGATTTCACCTTGCTCTTCGTACACACCTGGGAAGAGCACAATTCGGTCATACAGGCTGGCCATGGCCAAGGCACTGCCCAGGCTGTCAAACTCACGGCCTGGCCCAACACTCAGGGTACGTCGTTCCCTCCTCCGGCGGAATAGAGAAAAGCAGATGGAAGACTCCAAGTCCAAGGCATTCTTGGTCCATGTCTTGGATGCAAGGTAATGCTGCTTGAAGGCTTCTCTCCAAGACTCAGGCTCCACATCTGGCTGGTTGGGCCAATTGGGATGGCGGCACTCGGTGCAACCCAGACACAGCTGCCGCCAGCGGGTGCTGTCGAGACTGAGGATCAGTTCATACCAGGCCCTGCATACCAGGCTGCAGCGGCCCAGGTCGGGAAGGTGCAAGTAGGCTAAGATCATGCGCCACAGCTCCAAGGGGAGGCCACCAGCCTCCATGGTCACCTAGGAGACAGACACAAAACAAAAGAGATTTCTGTCTATCCTACTTACCAGTCCCCCTTTTTTATTTTTTTGAGATGGAGTTTCACTCTTCTTGCCCAGGCTGGAGTGCAGTGGTGCGATCTTGGCCTCACCATAACCTCCACCTCCCAGATTCAAGCAATTCTCCTGCCTCAGCCTCCCAAGTAGCTGGGGTTACAGGCATGCACTACCACAACTAGCTAATTTTGTATTTTTAGTAGAGACCAGGTTTCTCCATGTTGGTCAGGCTGGTCTCAAATTCCCGACCTCAGGTGATCTGCCCGGCTTGGCCTCCCAAAGTGCTGGGATTACAGGCGTGAGCCACCACACCCGGCCTCCAGTCCCTTTCTTAAAATACCCCCTGCCATCTCCTGAGCCCAAGGGTGAGCAAATAAACAAGGCTCAGCCAGTCAGAGGACTCCATCCTTTCAATGTGAATCCTACTCTAGATTTTTCCACCAGGAATTAGCAAGGAAGACTCTCTTTTCTCTATGGTCAGATGTTATAAAGATATGACTCCAGGCCGGGCGCAATGGCTCAGGCCTGTAATCCCAGCACTTTGAGAGGCTGAGACAGGTGGATCACCTGAGGTTGGGAGTTCAAGACCAGCCTGACCAACATGGAGAAACCCTGTCTCTATGAAAAATACAAAATTAGCCGGGCATGGTGGTGCATGCCTGTAATCCCAGCTACTTGGGAGTCTGAGGCAGGAGAATCGCTTGAACCCAGGGAGGCAGGGATTGCAGTGAGCCCAGATCGTGCCATTGCGCTCCAGCATGGGCAACAAGAGCGAATCTCCATCTCAAAAAAAAAAAAAAAAGGATACGACTCCGGAACTGCCAGGTTCACCACCATGTGGAGGAAACCTTCTGGTATAAGAGCCAAACAGAAAGATGACCTTTAAAAAGAGGAAGAAAACAAGGTGAGCACATGTGTGTGTGTATCCTGATAGTACTGATTCCAGATTCTTAAAGATGTCTTGGAATCTACAGTTCTTCCTTCAATTTTGTAGGATATCCCAATGGCCTTCTACTAAATCCCCCTTTTGCTCAAGCTAGTTTGATTTGGGCTTCTGTGACTTGCAACTAGAAGAGTCTGGACTTCTAAGAGGGAACCCACCTTTGGCTGTTAGGGTCCTAGAGCTCTGGATCCCCTACACTCTCAAGGAAGAGACCTCTATCTCTTTACACTATTAGGAATGAGAACTGAGGCAGTGACTGTCCATCTGTCTGTCTCTGCTTGTTCCCAGATCAAGTAATTACTGTTTCCCCACGTGGGGCAGCCCCAGGACAGACTACTGCTGAGTCAGATGCTGTGGGTTTTGGTCCTGGCTCTGCCATTGGTTATCCTGAGCAGTTAATTGGTTATTCTGAACACCTATGGGCTGGCTGCCCAGCCATCTACCTACTTGCTTTTTCTGGAAAATCTTCTTCTCCCCTACCAGTGATTTATATCACATGATTATAGAGGTAAGGTTCCCAGCAGATGTATATGTAGAACAAAGGATCCCCGACCTCTTGACTGCAACTGATTGGACTCTGGATGGTTCTAAAGGGGCCATCGAGCCCTTTTCCAGGAGAACAGGAGTTGCAATTCTAGAATCAGGATGGCCTTATTCCTGAATGGTGGGGAATGAGTGGCCCCTTTTCTAAGCTATAAACTCAGGAATAGCCTCTGGTGATCATTTTCCCCAGGCTGGGGCATAGGAGGAGACAAGACAGAAGAAGCTGATCTACATTGAGAAAAGAATAAATTAGAGACACAGAAAAAAGCAGAGAAAAGGGCAGAAGCAAGGGGCATCCAGTTTCTCTATAGCACTGCAGGTCATAGCTCTAGTCTATTCTCAAAGCTCAGCTTTATCCTTGCCCTTTGAATGCCATCAGATATCCCTGATGATGTAAGCTGGCTTCATTTACTTGTTTTTATACCTAGTTCAAGGTCTCTCATTTATGAGTGTCAATTTTCCCACTTAAAAAACAAAGGGCCAAGTAGATGACCTAGAGCAACTTCCAAGTCTGAAACCCAAGTCTCTAGACAACTAGAAAGTAGGACTATGGCCGGACATGGTGGCTCACGCCTGTAATCCCAGCACTTTGGGAGGCCAAGGTGGGTGGATTACTTGAGGTCAGGAGTTCCAGACCAGCCTGGCCAACATGGTGAAACTTTGCCTCTACTAAAAAATACAAAAATTTGGCTGGCTGCAGTGGCTCGTGCCTGTAATCCCAGCACTTTGGGATGCCGAGGCAGGTGGATCACTTGAGGTCAGGAGTTCAAGACCAGCCTGGCTAATACAGTGAAACCCTGCCTCTACTAAAAATACAAAAAAATTAGCCGGGTTTGGGGGCGTGCGCCTGTAGTTCCAGCAACTCAGGAGGCTGAGACAGGAGAATTGCTTGAACCTGGGAGGTGGAGGTTGCAGTGAGCCGAGATCGTGCCACTATACTCCAGCCTGGGCAACAGAGCGGGACTCTGTCTCAAAACAAAACAAAAATTAGCCAGGTGTGGTGGTGGGCACCTGTAATCTCAGCTACTCAGGAGGCTGAGGCAGGAGAATCATTTGGACCTGGGAGGCAGAGGTTGCAGTGAGCCAAGATTGCTTCACTGCACTCCAGCCTAGGTGACAGAGTGAGACCCTATCTCATAAATAAATAAAGTAGGACTAGAAACAACTGACCTTCATCAAATTGTTGACCTCTCTAGAGCCTTGGGTATCCTCTCAATTTTATGAAAATGCTAATCATACTTGTCAGTTATCTAAGCCCCAAGAAGGCTAGGAGCACAAATGTCTGATTATGTCTGGAAGAAATGCTGAGCTTCCTCAAGACTGGCGTGGCTTTAATTCTGCAGATTTGTACTGGAGCCCAGATGAGTAGGTTCTTCTCTAATGATCACCAGCGAGACTTTACTAAGAGAGAAAAGCGGCCGGGCGCGGTGGCTCACGCCTGTAATCCCAGCACTTTGGGAGGCCGAGGTGGGCGGATCACGAGGTCAGGAGATCGAGACCATCCTGGCTAACATGGTGAAACCCCGTCTCTACTAAAAATACAAAAAATTAGCCGGGCGTGGTGGCGGGTGCCTGTAGTCCCAGCTACTCGGGAGGCTGAGGCAGGAGAATGGCGTGAACCCGGGAGGTGGAGCTTGCAGTGAGCGGAGATCGCGCCACTGCACTCCAGCCTGGGCGACAGAGCGAGACTCTCTCAAAAAAAAAAAAAAAAAAAAAGAGAGAGAAAAGCTGGGCTCTGGACTGTTAAGCATAATAGGGGAAAGGCTGGGCTCCTGACATCTGCCACTCCCCAAGATGGACACCAGTTTATTTATGGCGGCTTCTATGACACTGATGTTTCCTGTTCTTCGTTTATTTCTTTAGTTATACATTCTCAGGCTTTTTTTTTTTTTTTTTTTGAGACAGAGTCTCACTCTACCACCCAGACTGGAGTGCAGTGGTGCGATCTCGGCTCACTGCAACCTCTGCCTCTCAGGTTCAAGTGATTCTCCTGCCTCAGCCTCCTGAGTAGCTGGGATTACAGGCGCACACCGCCATGCCCAGCTAACTTTTTTGTATTTTTAGTAGAGACGGGGTTTCACCATGTTGGTCAGGCTGGTGTCGAACTCCTAACCTTGTGATCTGCCCATCTTGGCCTCCCAAAGTCCTGGGATTACAGGCGTGAGCCATCGAGCCTGGCCTCTCAGGCTTTTTAAGAGAAAATTGTTCTTCTACTCATTCTCTATCCATTTTGTAGCTGAGCAATCACATCCATTCCCTTGGCTTCAACTACCACTGGAAATGCATGACTACAAAATCCAAATGTCTAGCCCCAATCATCTTTCTAGCTCCACACGTGAATACCCAATTCTCTTTTGGGCATTTCTACCTGGATGTTCCATAGATAACAAAAACTCAACATCATGTCCAAAATGGAACTCTGACTTCCACTTCAGGCCATGACAGAATAACGGAAACTGGATATTCCCTTCCTGCCATAAACAACTATAAAGCTGGACAAAATATATGAGGCAAGTGAATATGTGTTTTCAGGCACTGAGCAGCAAGCTGCTCAAGACTGTGATTTTTGGCCGGGTGCGGTGGCTCACACCTGTAATCCCAGCACTTTGGGAGGCGGAGGTGGGTGGATCACTTGAAGTCGGGAGTTCAAGAACAGCCTCACCAACATGGTGAAACCCCATCTCTGCTAAAAATACAAAATTAGCCAGGCATGGTGGTGCACACTTGTAATCCCAGCTACTTGGGAGGCTGAGGCAGGAGAATCGCTTGAACCCGGGAGGCAGAGGTTTTAGTGAGCTGAGATCACACCACTGCACTCCAGCCAGAACAAGAGCAAAACTCCATCTAAAAAAAAAAAAGACTGTGATTTTTGAAAGAAAGGAAACATAGGAGGTGAGTGCCAAGAACATCCTGGCATTCATTCTGAGGCACTTTCTTACTATGGTGTAAGAAGATGGTGCCCAAGCAGAGTGGCAGTCCCACCAAGCAGGCAGATTTGAGTTCTGTGCTGCTGAAGAGGCTGGCATTTGTGAGGCAAGGTACCAGAATAAAGTGAATAGCACAGAGGGGGTGGGGAGGAGGGGCAGTTCCTAGGCTGAAGGCTGGGCTGCACATGTACAGGGCAAGACTTCATCAGATGTAGTAGGGATCACCTGCTATGAAAATTTATTCTAATTTTCCACTTAACTTCTGTGTTTAATTTTGTTCATTCACTCATCCGACAGACATCTATTAAGCCTTATTATGTAACAGGTCCTAAGAGAAAATATTAATAAATCGGTATTAAGACATGGTCTCTGTGCTCAAGTTGCTGATAGTTTAATAAGAGGGGAGAAGACATAGTGAAACACAAAACAAAGTTGGCAAAAGACCTTCACTAGTAGGTTGAAAAATCATGGAGTAACTCCTAGAGATGTCTTTTTTTTTTTTTTTGGATGCAGTGGCCATGATCTTTGCTCACTGCAGCCTCTGCCTCCCAGGTTCAAGCAATTCTCGTGCCTCAGCCTCTCGAGTAGCTGGGACTGCAGGCGTGCGCCACCACGCCTGGCTAATTTTTGTATTTTTAGTAGAGATGGGGTTTCACCATATTAGCCAGGCTGGTCTCAAACTTCTGACCTCAAGTGATCCGCCTGCCTTGGCCTCCCAAAGTGCTGGGATTACAGGCATGAGCCACCGCACCTGGCCTTAGAATCACTTTAGAAAAGTGTTTCAGTTTCTTCTACAGTTAAATGCATACCTATCCTATGACCCAGGAATTCCACTCCTAGTTATTTATACAAGATAAATGAAAATAGGTGTTTACAAAAAGACTTACACAAGAATGTTTACAGCAGCTGTATTCATAATAGTAAAACAAACAAACAAACTGGAAACAACCCAAACATCCATCAACAGAAGTGTGGATAAACAAGTTCTGGTGTATTTGTACAATAGAGTACTATTCAGCAATACAAAGGGATAAACCATTGATGTAGACAAGAACATGTATGAACCTCAAAAATAATATGCTGGGGCTGGGCGCAGTGGCAGACGCCTATAATCCCAGCACTTTGGGAGGTCCAGGTAGGTGGACTGCTTGAGCTCAGGAGTTTGAGACCAGCTTAGGCAACATACTGAGACTCCATCTCTGAAAACAAAACAAAACAAAAAAACAAAAAACAAAAAATTAGCTGAGTGTGGTGACGCACAACTGTAGTCCCAGCTACTAGGGTGGTTGAGGTAGGAGGATCACTTAAGCCCAGGAAATCAAAGCTGCAGTGAAACATGATCGCATCACTGCACTCAAGCTTGGGTGACAGAGCAAGACTCTTATCTCAAAAAACAAAACAAAACAAAAAAGACAAAACTAGTCTATGGTGATAAAAATCAAAACAGTGCTTAGGCCAGGCACAGTGGCTCACACCTGTAATGCCAGCACTTTGGGAAGCTGAGGTGGGAGGACAGCTTGAGTCCAGTTCGAGATCAGCCTGGACAACATAGCAAGACCCCGTCTCTACAAAAAAGTTAAAAAATGTTGCCAGGCATGGTGGTGTGCACCTGTAGTCCAAGCTACTCGGGAGGCTGAGGTGGGAGAATCCCTTGAGTCTAGGAGTTTGAGGTTACAATAAGCTGATGGTGTCACTGCACTCCAGCCTGGGTGACAGCAAAACCCTGTCTCAAAAAACAAACACAATACAACGGTGCTTGCCAGCAAGGTGGAGATTAACTGGAAGGGGTTACGAGGGAACTTTAGGGTGAAGGAAATGTTTTATATCTTGACTGGTGTGTTAGTTATATGGGTGCATACATCTAAAAACCCTCACCAGAGGTTGGGCACAGTGGCTTATGCCTGTAATCCCAGTGCTTTGGGAGGCCAGGGCGGGTGGATCACCTGAGGTCATGAGTTTGAGACCAGCCTGGCCAACGTGGTGAAACCCCACCTCTACTAAAAATACAAAAATTATCTGGGCATGGTGGTGTGCACCTGTAATCCCAGTTACTCAGGAGGCTGAGGCAGGAGAATCACTTGAACCCGGGAGGCGGAGGTTGCAGTGAGCTGAGATTGTGCCACTGCACTCCAGCCTGGGCAACACAGCGAGACTCCATCTCAAAAAATAAAAAATAAAAAAATAGAAACCTCCCTGGATTGTATGCTTCAGCTCTGTGCATATCATTGCATGTAAACATCATCTCCATTTTTAAAATAGTATTTATTATCATCTCTCCCCATTCTTGCTCCACCACCTGTACTGTATTCCTTGGTTAATAACACCATCATTTTCCACCTAGCTGCCCAAGTCAGAACTAGAGAAACCTCCTTGATTTCTTTTCTCCCTCCTTCCCTCCCTCTCTACCCCAGATACTCTCTGAAGTCCTGTGTTTCTGCCTCCTTAAGCAATCTCTCCTATGATTACTTTCTTCACTATCCTCCCTGTCCCTGCATTACTTCTTTGGTTTGGATTACTATGACAGATCCTTTTTTTTTTCTTTTGAGACGGAGTCTCCCTCTGTTGCCCAGGCTGAAGTGCAGTGGCGCCATCTCGGCTCACTGCAACCTCTTCCTCCTGGGTTCAAGCGATTCTCCTGCCTCTGCCTCCCAGGTAGCTGGGACTACAGGCGCCCGCCACCACGCCCTGCTCATTTTTTGTAATTTTAGTACAGACGGGGTTTCACCGTATTAGCTAGGATGGTCTCAATCTCCTGACCTCATGATCCACCCGCCTCGGCCTCCCAAAGTGCTGGGGTTATAGGTGTGAGCCACCGCACCTGGGGATCTTTCTAAAATACACCTCTGATCTTGTCAATTGTTGGCTTAAAATTCCTCAGTGGTTCCCCATGGAGTCCTGGGTCAAGCCTAGTACAGAAGATCAGTTGTGAGCTTGTCTTTTTCTCTAGCCTCATCTCTGACATTCATCCCAACCTACCCTCACCCTCCCAATAATAACCTTTCAGAGGACCTTTCCTTATCCTCTCCCCTCAGAAATTAAGTGCCTCCCCTGGGCTCCCACAGCACCCAGAGAACAGCTCTAGCCAACATTTTAAACATGTGAAACAAAACACAGAGCACACAAAGCAAATGTGTAGTTTAGAGAATCATTTTACAAGGCAAGTATCCTGTTCACCACCACCTGGATCAAACACAAAACCTTGCAAGCCCCCTAAAAGCCTCTCTGTGTCCCCCATTCCAACGCTTCCTCAAAAAGTAAGTTCAGTCTTGATTTGTGTAGAAATCACATCTGAGCATTTCTTTATGGTTTTATCACCTCAGTACACATCCTTAGAGGCCATAGTTTTTAGTTTTGTCCTTAAGTTTTTGGCTTGATAGGTCTTTTGATTCTCATTTCATCTGCTGGTTCCCCTCTATCTTTTCTTTACAATTTATTTGTTGAAAACCCTGACTCATCTGACCAGAGTTTCTCATGGTCTCAATTTTGCTGACTGCATGCATTACTTGAAGGAGAGCTCACTTGTTCCTGTCACCTGCACTTCCTGCATGCTGGCACTGGATCCAGAGGCTTGCTCAAACCCAGGTTCAACCCCTTTAGCAATACTACAAGTGGCATTGTACCTTTTTATTAGGAGCCACATTTCTGGTTGTCTCTTTTTTGATGTTAGTAGCCAGTGGTGCTCAATGCCTCTATCCAGCAATTCACTGGTGGTAACGAAATGTTAATACTCTTAATTCACCAAAGAACACTAAAAACAGTACAAAACAAAACAAAAACCAAGCCCAATCAAAACTCATTTGGCTTTGATAAGCTGAAATAATTTTATAAGAAGATTTTATAATTCTATTCATCCACTATTTGGTTATCCAGTGGCACAGTACATATAGGAAGAGCCAGCTTAATGCTTTCATTTTATTTCTCAGTTTTCTTTTTTTGTCGTCTCAGGTTTTTTTTTTTTTTTTTTTTTTTTTTTTTTTGAGATAGAGTCTTGCTCTGTTGCTCAGGCTGGAGTGTAGTGGCATGATCTTGGCTCACTGCAACCTCCACCTCCCAGGTTCAAGTGATTGTTCCGCCTCAGCCTCCTGAGTAGCTGGTATTACAGGCACCCGCCACAATGCCCAGCTAATTTTTGTATTTTTAGTAGGGAGATGGGGTTTCATCGTGTTGGCCAGGCTGGTCTCAAACTCCTGACCTCAAGTGATCGGCCCGCCTCAGCCTCCTAAAGTGCTGGGATTACAGGCATGAGCCACTGCACCTGGCCTTTTTTTTTTTTTTGAGACAGAGTCTCACTCTGTTGCCCAGGCTGGAGTGCAGTGGCGCAATCTTGGCTCACTGTAACCTCAGCCTCCCAGGTTCAAGCGATTCTCTGCCTCAGCCTCCCAAGTTGCTGGGACTACAGGCCTGCACCACACACCTGGCTAATTTTTGTAGTTTTTGTAGAGATGGGGTTTACCCATGTTGGCCAGGCTGGTCTTGAACTCCTGGCCTCAAGTGATCCACCTACCTCGGCCTCTCAAAGTGCTGCGATTATAGGCACCACACCCAGCCTATTTCTCAGTTCTCAAGATAATGAATGGGTTCCCTGTTGTTCTCTGAAGGTGACTGGCTCTCAAAATTCATGTTCTTCTCACATGCAAAGTGCATCCATCCCAATAGCCCCAAAAAGTCTTAACTTGTTCCAGCATCAGTTTTAAAGTCTAAGTCCACAGTCTCATCTAAACCAGATATGGATGACAGTCAAGGCATGATTCATCCTGAGGCAAATTCCCCTCCAGCTGTGAGCCTATAAAATCAAACAAGCTATGTGCTTCCAAAATACAGTGGTGGGATAGCACAGGACAGACATTCCCATTGCAAGAGAGAAACAGACAAGAAGAAAAAAGTCACTGGCCTGAAGTATGTCCAGAACAGAGCAAACAACACTAAATCTTAAGGCTGGACAATAATCTTCTTCGACTCCATGTCCAACTTTCTGGACACAACGTGTTGGGGGCTGGGTCTCCAAGGCCCTGGAAAGCCCTGCCTCCACAGCATTGCTGGACATAGCCCACACAGCTCTGAAGGGTTGCAGTCAATACCTGTGGCTTTCCCAGGCTGGTGCTGTGTGCTGGTGGCTCTACAGGTCTGGAGTCTTGGGGGCAGCCCTGCTTCCAAGACTCCACTAGGTAATGCCCAAATAGGGGCTCCCTGCAGCATCCTTTGAAATCTAGGTAGAGGCACACAAGCCTCCACAGCTCTTGTACTCTGCAAGTCTACAGTTAGCCCCACGGGGATAGCACCAAGGTAGACTGCTTGTGCCCTGGGTTCTGTAGCCCAGCCACACCTGGGCCTGCTTGAGCCACAGGTGGGGTGACCAGGGAACAGAGGCCTGAAGCATCCCTGAGCAATGAGCTCCAAGGTTCCAAGAGTGCCCCGGGCCTGGCCCTTTAAGCTGGTTTGCCCTCATAGCACTAGCATTGAAGTGACGGCACAAGCAGCCTTGAAAATCAAATGGTCACTTGGCCACACCCTTGGTTTTCTCTTCTAAACCATTTAAAAAATTCTTTACATAACCAGAACTGAGAGTTTTTCAAATCTTTGTGTTCTGCTTCCCTTTTAATTATAAATTGTCTTTAAATCCTTCTTTCTTTTCCCATTTTACTATAAGCAGTTAGAAGCAGCCATGCAACATCGTGAATGCTCTGCTGCTTAGAGATTTCTTCTGCCAAATCACCTAGCTTTTCTAGCTTTCTCTCCTTTCTGCCTTCTACAGAGTCCTAGGACACAGACATTGATTCAGCCAAGTTCTTTGCCACTTTATAAGAAAGATAACCTTTCTTCCAATTTCCAATACCTTGTTCCTCATTTCTGTCTGAGACCTCATCAGACTAGCCTTCACTGTTGCAACTACTCAAGCAATCTGTAAGAAGAACAAGGCTTCTCCTATATCCCTTCTTTCCCCAGGCCCTGGCCAGAACCACCCTTAATGTGGCATTCATGTCAATGAAGGATTTTCCAGCATTTGCTTCAAAACTGTTCCAGCCTCTATGCATTATCCGTTTCCAAGTTGCTTCTACATTTTTAGGTATTTGTTATAGCAACACCCCACTCCTCCAGTACCAATTTATGTCTTAGTCTGTTTAGTGCAACCATGTCGGAATTCTTGAATCTGACTAATCTGTAAAGAACAGACACTTATGGCTGGGCGAGGTGGCTCACGCTTGTAATCCCAGCACTTTGGGAGGCCGAGGCAGGAGGATCACGAGGTCAGGAGATCGAGACCATCCTGGCTGACACGGTGAAACCCCGTCTCTACTGAAAACACACACACGCACAAAAATTAGCCGGGCATGGTGGTGGGCGCCTGTAGTCCCAGCTACTCGGGAGGCTGAGGCAAGAGACCGGCAGGAACCCAGGAGGCAGAGCTGGCAGTGAGCCGAGATTGCGCCACTGCACTCCAGTCTGTGTGACAGAGCGAGACTCCATATCAAAAAAAAAAAAAAAAAAAAAGAACAGACATTTATTTTTCACAGTTCTGGAGCCTGGGAAGTCCAAGATCAAGGTGCTGGCACCTGGTGAGGACGTCCTTGCTCTGTTCTTAGATGGTGGAAGGTAGAAAAGCAAGAGGGATGAAAATATGTGTCTGCACACTGCAGAAGGATGGCAAATGCATCCCCACAAACCCTTCCATTCATAAGGAAGAGCCCTTATGACCTTTTACCTCCCAACACTGTTGCATTGGGGATTAGGTTTCCAATACATACATTTTGGGGGGGACATATTCAGACCACAGCAGTGACCAATTCAGGTTGTGTGTGTGTGTGTGTGTGTGTGTGTGTGTGTGTGTGTATTTTTTTTGAGATGGAGTCTCGCTCTGTCACCAGGCTGGAGTGTAGTGGTGCAATCTCAGCTCACTGCAACCTCTGCCTCCTGGCTTCAAGCAATTCTCCTGCCTCAGCCTCCCGAGTAGCTGGGACTACAGGCACGCGCCACCATGCCCAGCTAATTTTTGTATTTTTAGTAGAGACAGGGTTTCACCATGTTGGCCAGATGGTCTCGATCTCTTGACCTCATGATCCACCTGCCTCAGCCTCCCAAAGTGCTGGGATTACAGGCGTGAGCCACCGCGCCCGGCCACATGTATGTTTTTAAATTGTTATGAAGTCATGGACTGACACGTATTTTATGGGTTTCAAGTCTTTGAAATCCCTACTTTTATTAAAGTTCAAATTAAGCTATCTTTGGCCCCACATTGGTTCCTCAGTCCTCCTGGCACAACCCCTGTACCCTCTGATAGCTTCCTTGCTATGTGGTATGGCTAGATAGCATAACAGCTTCTTTCTTTAAGAAGTTGTCTTTAAAAAATGTTCATTGAGAAAATTGTAGATTCACATGCAGTTATAAGAAATAATAGAGATCCTGGCCAGGCACGGTGGCTCATGCCTGGAATCCCAGCACTTTGGGAGGCCGAGGCGGGCAGATCACCAGAGGTCGGGAGTTCGAGACCAGCCTGACCAACATGGAGAAACCCCGTCTCTACTAAAAATACAAAAAAAAAAAAAATTAGCCAGGCGTGGTGGCACATGCCTGTAATCCCAGCTACTTAGGGAGGCTGAGGCAGGAGAATCGCTTGAACCTGGGAGGCAGAGGTTGCGGTGAGCCGAGATCATGGCATTGCACTCCAGCCCGGGCAAAAAGAGCGAAAGTCTGCCTCAAAAAAAAAAAAAAAAAAAAAAAGAAAGAAAGAAAGAATAGAGATCCTTTGCTTGGTTTACCCCAATGGTAACATTTTGCAAAACTATAGTATAATATCCCACTAGCATGGTGACATTGATATAGTCCAAGGTCTAATTTAGATTTCTCCAGTTTTACTTGTACTCACTTGTGTATGTGTATTAAGTTCTATACAATTTTATCACCTGTGTAACTTTGTGTATCTATGACCAGTAAAGACGGTGAACAGTTCCAACACCATATGGATCCCTTGTGTTGCCCTTTTGTAACTATACACGTCTCAATTCTCCCTCCTCTCTCCTGTCCCTAACCACTGGCAACCATTAATCTGTCCTCCAGTTCTAAAACTGTATCATGTCAAAAATGTTATATAAGTGGAATTATACAGTGTGTCACCTATTGAGACTGGCTTTTTTTCATTCAGTGTAATTCGATGGAGGCTCATCCTACTTGTGGTGTGCATCAATAGTTTGTTTATGATGCTGAGGACTATTTCGTGCTATGGATGTACCATATCCAGTAGTGTGTATTTGCAGAATTGACAGATGCATTCATATGTGCAATACAACCCCCTACCAAGAAATGGAATACTCCAGAAAGTTCTCTCATGACTCTTCCATCAAGTTCCACCCCCGACCCCAAGAGGCAACCACTGTTTTCTTTTCTCTTATCTCCTCAAATTCCTACTATCATGATTTTCTACTACAGATTAGTTTTGTCTGTTCTAGAATTGCATATAAATGGGATCATGCAGTATGTATTCTTCTGTGTAAGGCTTCTTTCATTCAGCATAATATTTTGAGATTCATTCATTTCATTGCATGTAGTTTACTTTTTAACTGCTCAGTAGTATTTCATTGTATTAAGTGTTAATATATCACAGTTTAAAAAAAATTAATTCTCCTCGATGGAAACCTGAATTACTTTCAGTTTGGGGCTATTATGGATAATGCTGCTGTGAATATTCTTATATAAGTGTTTTTGTGGACACGTTTTAATTTTTCTTGAGTCAATACTTAGGAGTGGAATTCCTAGGTTCTTTTCCCAGAGAGGCTATACTATTTTACACGCCTACCAAGAAAGAATAAGAAACACAGTTGCTCCACATTTGTTGTGGTGTTTTTGTTTGTTTTTTGCAGGGTCACACTTTGTCACCCAGGCTGGAGTGCTGTGGTGTGATCACAGTTCATTGCAACCTCGAATTCCCAGGCTCAAGTGATCCTGCTGCCTCGGCCTCCCAAAGTGCTGGGACTATAGGAGTAAACCACCATGCCCAGGCTGTTGCTGGTTTTTAAAATTTTATCATTCTGGTGGGTATGTAATGGTATATCATTTTGGTTTTAATTTGCATTTTCTTCATAATACACGATGTTGAGATTTTTTGCATGTGATCATTGGCCATTCATATATCTCCTTTTTGAAGTACTTGTTCAAATCTTTTGTCTTTTTTTTTTCAGACGGAGTTTTGCTCTTGTCATCCTGGCTGAAGCCCAGTGGTGCAATCTCGGCTCACCGCAACCTCCAACCTCCACCTCCCAGGTTCAAGCGATTCTCCTGCCTCAGCCTCCCGAGTAGCTGGGATTACAGGCGCTCGCCACCATGCCCAGCTAATTTTTGTATTTTTAGTAGAGATGGGATTTCATCATGTTGGCCAGGCTGGTCTCAAACTCCTGACCACAGGTGATCCACCCACCTTGGCCTCCCAAAGCACTGGGATTACAGGCGTGAGCCACTGCGCCTGGTCCTTTTGTCTGTTTTTAATTGTTTTTTTTAATATATATTTAATTATAGGACTTCTTTATATGTCCTTTGCCAGATACATGTTCTTTGAATATTTTCTCCCAATCTGTGGTTTGCCTTTTCATTGTCTTAATGGAATCTTTTGATGAGAAGTTTTTAATTTTGATGAAGTCTAACTTACCATTTCTTTCTTTTTATGATTATTTTCTTCTATCTGTCTGAGAAAGCTTTGTTAATTCCTAAGTCATGGATATAATCTCTTGTCTAAAAGCTTTGTGGTTTTGACTTTTACATACTGTTCTATGATCCATCATGAATTAATTTTTGTTATGGTATGAGGTAGTGGTTGAGGTTCATTCTTTTTCTATGTGGATATCAAGTTATTCTAGCACCATTTGTTGAAAACAGTCTCCTTTCCTTATTGGGTTGCTTTGGTGCCTTTTTCAAAAAAAACAAACAATGGTAGTGTGGGATTATTTCTGGACTATTTGTTTCATTGATCTACTTGTCAATCCTTATGCCAGCACCACAGTATCACCACATTTTTGACACTTTTTTTCCTTTTATGCATTATGCTTTTGGTATCAAGTTTAAGAACTTTTTACCTAGCTCTAGATCCTAAAGATTTTTTCCTGTGTTTTTTTCTAAAAGTTTTATAGTTTACACTGTATACTTAAGCCTATGGTCCATCTTGAGTTAATTTCTTATTGAAGTGTAAGTTGAAGTTTTTCTTTTTAGCCTATGGTTATCCAACTGTCCCAGGACCATTTGTTAAAAAGGTTATCCTTTCTCCATTGAACTGCTTTTGTACTTTTGTCAAAAAATGATAAATCAGTTGAGGATATTTTTGTTCTGGATTTTTTTTTTTTTTTTTTTTTTTTTTTTGAGACAGAGTCTCTCTCTTTTGCCCAGTCTGGAGTGCAGTGGCACAATCTCGGCTCACTGCAACTTCTGCCTCCTGAGTTCAAGCCATTCTCCTACCTCAGCCTCCCAAGTAGCTGGGATTACAGGTGTGTGCCGCCACGCCCGGCTAATTTTTGTATTTTTAGTAGATATGGGGGTTTCACCATGTTGGCCAGGCTGGTTTTGAACTCCTGACATCAGGTGATCTGTCCGTCTTGTCCTCCCAAAGTGCTGGGATTACAGGCGTGAGCCACCGCATCCAGCCTGTTCTGTATTCTTTAATGGAATATGTCAAAACCACAATCTGGATATTAGACATGCTTTTTCTACTGGCTTGGTCATTGTTTCTAAGCCTTTTGCATCCTCCACTGGATTGTTTACGATAGGGACTGGGTACTTTTCTCTCTGAAGACTCAATACCTGGTGTTGACTCCTTTCTCTATTACAACTATTCAGGGCAACAGAAAAGACAAGGAGAGCATTCTTAGCTACAGGGTGCCTACATTATTCCAATACTGGGTCTACGTGTCCATGCACTATGAGAGTAGGATTCTGATTTTTCCCAGGCTATGGGTTCTTTCAGGCAATGATGCCAATAAGTGATGATTTATGATTACTTACAATTGACCCGACCATCATCACAAGACAGTAGTACCTCTGGCAGCTCAAATGAACCCTTTTATATTGAACTCTCACGTAACTCACTCTTTCCCTCACAACTTCATATCCTTGCACTCTACATCCCTTCTGAGCCTTACCCCAGACCTCTTTACCCCTTCGGAGGCCTTGGATGGCTCTGCCTCTGATTATTCTTTTCTTAATTTGAATGTTGCTTTTCTCCTCACAAAGTCATTCTCATGAGGAAGGAGCTCTGCCAGGACCTGAGTGGGGTAGATGCAGTTCAGCCTCAGTTAGGACCTCTCCTCCAACCATGTTCTTGGCTTGCCTCACTTGAGAAGTAATTTTAAAATGTTATTTTGCTGTCTTTCCATAAAGTTTTGGTGACCTATACGTGGTACTCTGAATTCAGTGACTTCACATATTACATTTCATCTAGCTGGCCTTGACCGTTCACAAAGTCCATTTCTAGCTAGCTCAGATAATCTCCCTCCCACATAACAGCTTACATACTATGTCCCCACATGGTTTACATTTATCTTTCTACATTTCTTATCTATTTCCCTATAAAGAGGGGCTCATCTATAATACTTTTCTAGCTGTCCTGGTTTCATTTTTTTCCTTATTATTTAGCCACTTCAATTTAAAACCACCAGAAGGACATCATTATCCCCATTTTCATAACCTTCCATATGAAAGTATGCTAACCATCAACTACCCAAACATTTCCTCCCAGTGGGCGATCTCATCTTAACCAGGACCAACTGCTGCATCTGAAAGGAGTATTTTTAATCATTGCTAAGAGCTTTGACGTACTTGTTAGAATCTGTATTCTCATCGTCCCCACAGGCTGCTCTTGATTTCTGAGCTCCTCTGAGTATAACCATATACTCTTCTTTCAGGGAGCACCATATACTGCGCACTTTCTGAGATGCTTTATCCATGATGTTCTTTCCTTCTACAAGGGGCAACTCTGACAGGTGTTCAAGAGTGAATCAGCTAACACTAAAGGAACCTAATCTATACCACCTTCCAGGTGAGAGGCTTCCATATGGTCTTTTGCAGGACTTTCCATTAGGGTTCTCCTGGGATCTATTGCTAATGGTTGGTATTCCAAGTCTCAGGAGGGACTTGGAATAAGAGAGACCCAAATTGCAACCACCAACCCTCATAAATGCATCTCTGCTTCTCAACTCGAGCCTAGTTTACTTTACTATATAAGTGTTCAACCCAGTCAATGCATTGTGTGCCCCATGTGACATCCCATAGTATCCAGCACTGACAATTTCTCTCCCAGATGGGTTTCCCCCATTTCCCATAGTAGCTCATCAATAATGAATACCCTAGGCTATCATAATTCACTTACAGAGAATACAGCAAGAACCCCACATACCATCCAATATGCAGCACAAAGTACAGGCTTAATAACAGTGTTTTTAAGTAAACGAATAATCAGAAATGAGCCCCCATCATGCCCCCACCTCAAATTTTAGGTGAATAATTAATGTATCACCCATTAGGTGATAGCAACCATTTGCTGTCATAGCTAATAACAATGTGAGATAGAAGGAATTAAGCACTACTGCAGCTTATAGAGATCAAGAAGAAAGAAAATCTTTTTTTTTTTTTTGAGATGGAGTTTCGCTCTTGTTGCCCAGGCTGGAGTGCAATGGTGTGACCTCAGCTCACCGCAACCTCCACCTCCCAGGTTTAACTGATTCTCCTGCCTCAGCCTCCCGAGTAGCTGCGATTACAGACGCGCACCACCACGCCCGGCTAATTTTTTGTATTTTTAGTAGAGACGAGGTTTCACCATGGTCAGGTTTGTTTTGAACTCCTGACCTCAGGTGATCCGCCCGCCTCGGCCTCCCAGAGTGCTGGGATTACAGGCATGAGCCACCGCGCCTGGCCGAAAAAAGAAAATCTTTAAGCCAGACTTAGTAGGACCTCCCATAGCAGTGATTCTTTAATCGTGGCTCTTCAGTCATCACCTGAGAATCACCTGGGGCCTATTCCTAGCTTCATCTCAGACCTCCAGAATCAGAATCTCTGGAGTGGAACCAATTATGTGCATTTTTAACAAGCTCCCTGGTGATTGTGATAAAGGGCCCCACCCACACTTTGATGCAGCATCCTTCTTCCTCAGCTTCAACCCTTTCAGTGAAGCAGCTGTCTCTGTATCATGCAAAGACCAATCATTTCAAAGCCAAAAGACCTGGGGTCAAGTTGCAGGTGACCTTGAACAAGTCACTTAACCTCTCTGGGCCTCAGGTTCCTCATATATAAATTGGGGACCTTGATAGCACCCAAAGGCTTGCTGTGATGATTAAAAAATTGAAAGCACATTACATTGGGAATCAATGCTCTTCATCAACTGCTTCCAGTTTTCTTTCCTTCTGGGCACATGACAAGATTGTACATCTGATCCCTCCTGAGGTCAAATGGGGCCACAAGACTAGTACTAACCAATGGGTTTTGAGTAGAAGAGATGTGCGTTACTTCTCGACTAGAGCACTTCATTGCCTATGCAGGATCATCCACAGCTTGCTTTTCTCTGTGGCACAGCAACTGGCAACATTTGAGATGACGGTTACTCTAGGAACCTGGATCCTTAAATGATTAGAGTAAGCAGAGATCCCGACCAAGCCAAGATGGACAAACACCATGCATGAAAAATACACCTTTGTTTGGGTTAAGGCACTAAGAACTTGCAGATTGTTTGTTACCATAGCAGAGGCTGAAAGAGCATATGAAACTCTAAAGGGCATTATTATAAAGCCCTCGGACACCTTGAGATTGACTTCACTACTCTTCCCCAGGTGGTGTCAGTTCTGACCCCTTGGAGCCACTGGTGCTCGACCCTCTTTCACAAGTTGCATGATGGGAAAGGCCCTGAATGCCAGACTAAGAAGCTTGTACTGTCTATTATAGATTCCTCAGAAGGGAAGTGGCCTGATCAGAGCTATATTTTAAGGAGATCCATCCAGGAGAGGTATTTAGGTGGAACAGTGAGGGCAGGAACTCACAATTTTGCAAATATTAATTGTAATTTCTTTCCCTTAGGATGATGTGAGGGTGTCTGGGGGATTTGGGGCCAAGCCACCTGACGTAGAAACTACTGGAGCTTCGGTTTCTTGGGGTTCCAAGAAGCCCACCTATAGTAGGAAGCACATGGTTTAGTCACTGGCCTCTCAGGGGAAGGGGGATTTCCTAGCAGGTTACTGTCAACCCTTCAGCATTTGTTTTCCCCCAAACTTGCCTGTGTACCCAACTCCAGGGCTCTGTATCTAGAATGAAGCCAACAATTGCCCCCTCTTGACTCCGAGCACACATGCACATTTCCTATCATTCCATTTGGCTTTATTTACTATATCTTTACACTAATCCATGGAGATTCATGAAACAACAGGGACTTCTTAGAACAAGGTAACACTTTTTATTTTATTTTTTTTAATGCATTCAAGTTTTGCCTTTCCGTTTTACCACTGGGGCCTCTGCATGTGGAATTAAAAGTAACAAATGTCCCCAGAGCCTGTGCACCTGGAGTGTGATGCCTGTAAAGAACTGGAAAAACAATGATGGAAGCCTGTCTGGGATGGAGGGAGTATGGCCTGAAGTAGGCCCCAAGTGGTTCCGTTTTTTGATTAAAAAAACTTTTTATTTTGCTGGGCGCGGTGGCTCATGCCTGTAATCCCAGCACTTTGGGAGGCCGAGGCAGGCAGATCATGAGGTCAGGAGATTGAGACCATCCAGGCTAACACGGTGAAACCCCGTCTCTACTAAAAATACAAAAAATTAGCCGGGCATGGTGGTGGGCACCTGTAGTCCCAGCTACTCAGGAGGCTGAGACAGAAGAATGGTGTGAACCCAGGAGGCGGGGCTTGCAGTGAGCCGAGATCGTGCCACTGCACTCTAGCCTGGGCGAAAGAGCAAGACTCCGTCTCAAAAAAACAAAACAAAACAAAACAAAATCAACTTTTTTTTTTTTTTTTTTTTTAAAGAAGTGAGGTCTCTCTGTGTTGCCCAGGCTGGAGTACAGTGGCAGGATCATAGCTCACTGCAGCCTCGAACTCCTGGCCACAAGTGATCCTCCCACCTTAGCCTCTCAAAATACTGTGATTACAGGCGTGAGTTACCATGCCCAGACTTGTTCCATTTTTTATGGTCCCAAGAGTGTTAGAACTCAGAGTTTCTGTGTAGCACTCTCCTAACCTCCCACTGGAGGTATCCACATGCCTCTGGGCCACCTGGTGTCCCCAGCCTCAGTGGGAGAGAAGGAGGCAAGTCCCATAAGACTTGGCTCTCAACAAGCAGGCTCTCTGCTGCTGCCTCGCCCTGTGACTTCAGCACGTCCTTGAACCTTTCTGAACCTATTTCCTTGCCTCTAAACTGAGGCTGACAATGGCTGGCCTGATACACCTCATGCAGATTTTGACAATTTCCAGAGAAAAAAATCATTTATTCAACAAACATTCGTTGATTGCCTATGTGCCAAGCATTGTTCCAAGAACTGAAAAGCAGTAAATGAGGCAAAGTCCCTACCTTCAGAGACAGACAATAAACGAAAAAGATATTAACATAAATGCTATGAAGAGAAATAAAGCAGGTTAAGGGGTATATGTGCATGCATGTGCTATTTCAGACAGGGTTGTCAAGGAAGGTCTCTGAGGAAGTGACATTTGAATAGAGACCTGAATGACATTTAAAGCCATGGCATGGACTGAGATCACTGGTGAAGGAGTTAAGAGAGAGAAGCAATCTGATGAACAAGCCCTTGGCCAGTCTAACATCTCAACGGCATGACATGGAAACACATCTGTAAAGGGGAAAGTGGGAACAACCTCCCTCACAGCACTGTCCAGAGCTCTGCACCTGTGAGGCACTGGAAGGAAGGCTGCTGCTTTGTTCATTTGCTGTCTGTACTCCCACTGCTTCTGGGAAGGGTGGGCTCCATGTGCCCGTTCACCAAGCACCAAGATGGGCAGGCAGGCTGGGGTCAGGAATAAAAACATCCCTCAGGGATCTGCACTTGGGAGCTGTGTGGTGGGAGGAAGTGGCAACAGGGGAACGCTTTGGTATTAACAGTTGAGTATAAAGTGAAGCCCTTGCTTTGGCTCCCTGTAAGCTCTCTAATGTCTTGGTCGCTCACAAATTCTTTTGTGTGAGTGGATCTGTGAGGGGGCAGAGGGGACACAGGAAGTGCTGAGTTATTCCACAGGGATGAACCACGGGAAAAGGGAAACACACCTGTGGACCCAGAGCGCCAGGTGACAGAGCCTGGGCACCTCTAGGAGGAAATTCCCTGTGGAATTAAATGTTTTCCTTCATTTATTGTCTGTCTCCCCTGAGTAAAATGTAAGCTCCTGAAGGGCAGAAACTTTGCATCACTGCTTTGCACTATGCCCAGAACTATGCCTGGCGCATAGCAGGTGCTCAACAATCATTTACTGAATAAATAATCACCCTCATCATTATCTGGTATATTAGCATAGCTGAGACTACTCAAATCATTAGCAATAGATTCCCTGCTGCCACACAGATCCCTGTGGAATAAAAAAAGAAGTAAATAAGAACCCAAGTATGTATTCAACACTTGCTGTGTATAAGACCAAGTGGTTAGCACCTTGTGAGTCAGTGGGAATCAGATAAAGACCCTGCTCTCAAGTCTGGCAGAACAAAGATATGTCTACCAAAAAACACCCAAAAGACAAAAAGAAAACCAAAGAAATCCCACAATTCAAGGGGAAAAATGCTTAGTGCCTGATATGGTTTGGCTGTGTCCCCACCCAAAATCTCATCTAGAATTATACTCCCCATAATCCCCATGTGTCAGGGGTGTGACCAAGTAGAGATAATCAGATCATGAAGGCAGTTCCCCATGCTGTTCTCATGATAGTGAGTGAGTCTCACAAGATCTGATGGTTTTATAAGCCATCTGGCATTTCCCCTGCTTGCACTCATTCTCTCTCCTGCCACCCCGTGAAGAGGTGCCTTCTGCCATGATTGTAAGTTTTCTGAGGCCTCCCCAGCCATGCAGAACTGTGAGTCAATTAAACCTCTTTTGTTTATAAATTACCTAGTTGTGGGTATTTCTTAACAGCAGCATGAGAACAGACTAATACAGTAAATTGGTACTACAGAGAGTGGGGTGCTGCTGTAAAGATACCTGAAATGTGGAAGCGACTTTGGAACTGGGTAACAGGCAGAGGCTGGAATGGTTTGGAGGGCTCGGAAGAAGACAGAAAAATGTGGGAAAGTCTGGAACTTCCTAGAGACTTAGAGGGCTCAGAAGACAAGAAGATGTGGGAAAGTTTGGAGCTTCTTAGGGACTTGTTGAATGGCTTTGATCAAAATGCTGATAGTGATATGGACCATGAAGTCCAGGCTGAGGTGGTCTCAGATGGAGATAAGCCACTTCTTAGGAACCGGAGTAAAGGTAACTCTTGCTATGCAAAGAGACTCACAGCATTTTGTCCCTCCCCTAGAGATCTGTGGAACTTTGAACTTGAGAGAAATGATTCAGGGTATCTGGCAGAAGAAACTTCTAAACGACAAAGCATTCAAGAGGAAGCAGAGCATAAAAGTTTGGAAAATTTGCAGGAGATCATTTCGGAATTTTAAGGTTTAATGACTGGCCTATTGGATGTGATAGAAAAGAAAACCCCATTTTCTGGGGAGAAATTCAAGCCCAATGCAGAAATTTGCACAAGTAATGAGGAATGTTAATCACCAAGATAATGTGGAAAATGTCTGCAGGGCATGTCAGAGAACTTCAAGGCAGCCCCTCCCATCACAGGCCCAAGGCCTAGGAGGGAAAAATGGTTCCATGGGCCTGGGCCAGGCACAGGGACCCTCTGCTCTGTGCAGCCTTGGGACATGGTACCCTGCATCCCAGCTGCTTCAGCTGCAGCAGTGGCTAAAAGGGGCCAAGGTACAGCTTGGGCCATTGCTTCAGAGGGTGCAAGCCCTACTCACTGGTGGCTTCCACATAGTGTTGAGCCTGTGGGTGCACAGAAGTCAAGAACTGAGGTATAGAAACCTCTACTTAGATTTTAGAGCATGTATGGAAACAGCTGGATGTCCAGGAAGAAGTTTGCTGCAGGGGTGGAGCCCTCATGGAGAACACCTGCTTGGGCAGTATAGAAGGGAAATGTGGGGTCGGGGCCCCCACACAGAGTCTCCACGGGGGCACTGCCCAGTGGAGCTGTGAGAAGAAGGTCACCATCCTCCAGACCCCACAATGGCAGATCCACTGAGAGCTTGCATCATGTGCCTGGAAAAGCTGCAGACACTCAACACCAGCCTGTGAAAGCAGCCAGGAGGTGGGTTGTATCCTGCAAAGCCACAGGGGTGGAGCTGCCCAAGGCTGGGAGCCCACCTTTTGCATCAGCATAACCTGGATATGAGACATGCAGTCAAAGGAGATCATTTTGGAACTTTAAGGTTTAATAACTAACCTATTGGATTTTGGACTTGCATAGGGCCTGTAGCCCCTTTGGCCAATCTCTCCCATTTGGAGTGGGTATATTTACCCAATGTCTGTACCCCCACTGTATTTAGGAAGTAACTAGCTTGCCTTTGATTTTACAGGCTCATAGGCAGAAGGGACTTGCCTTGTCTCAGATGAGACTTTGGACCTGGACTTTTGGGTTAATGCTGGAATGAGTTAAGACTTTGGGGTACTGTTGGAAAGGAATGACAGTGTTTTGAAATATGAAGACATGAAATTTGGGAGGGCCCAGGGGCAGAATGATATGGTTTGGCTGTGTCCCCGCCCAAAATATCATCTTGAATTATAATTCCCACAATCCCCATTTGTCAGGGGAGGGACCATGTAGAGGTAATTGGATCATGGGGCACGGTTTCCCCCATGCTGTTCTCGTGATAGTGAGTCCCATGAGATCTGATGCTTTTATAAGTCTCTGGAATTTCCCCTGCTTGCACTCATCTCTCTCCTGCCACCCTGTGAAGAGGTGCCTTTCACCATGATTGTAAGTTTCCTGAGGCCTCCCCAGCCATGTGGAACTGTGAGTCAATTAAACCTCTTTTCTTTATAAATTAGTCTCAGATATTTCTTCATGGCAGCGTGAGCACAGACTAACACAGTGCCATAAAAAAGGGAAAGCCCTTGTTTAAAGAACAAAAATGTGACCTCCAGCTAGGGAAACAAACCAATAATAATGGAAGACAACAAAAACAGCAGCAGGTAGCTTTTACTCAGTACTGCTATTTGAGGGGCACAATATTAAGTGCTTTTCATGCATTATTTCATCCTATTCCCTGAAGATCTCTTCAAGCCTTACAACTCAAAATGTGCTCCCAGGACCTAGGAGCTTGTTAGAAGTGGCAGACATTGGGCACCACCGTGTACCTCCTGGATCAGATTTGGCATTTTAACAACATCACCAGGGAACTGATGTGCACCCTAAATTTGAGAAGCAATGACTGAAATTAATACTGTCTTCATTTTTCAGTTCAAGAAACTAAACTTATGTGACAAATGGCTTGCCCCAATCACTCGTTAGAGAGGTGCAGAACCACTGAAGCCCAGCCCGTCCCCAGAGACTCTTGTTTTTAACCACTAAGCCAAGCTTCATGGAGGAGCTGGTATCTGAACTGGACTCTGAAATTTGCATAGGACTGGGACATTCAGAGGAGGAAGAAAGGGGGCTATAGCAGAGGAAACAGCATCAGCAAAAGCTCCTGAGGTAGAAAACCTTCAGCTGGGCTTAGGACATGTTGGGAGGTTCAGTCTGGCTGCAGCTCCAGGAGTCTGAAGGGATCAGTGAGAAAGGCCACCTGTATTAGTTCACATGGAACACCCTTAGCCAAAGGTAAACAGTTTCTAGTTAATTTGGGGGACCATGGGGAGCTGCCATGAGTCCCAGCACAAAAGGCCCTATGCGTGCTGAAATGACTCTGACAAAAGGGACCCAACAGGCTTCATTCACACTCTAGTTTGGGCTCTGCCTCTCCCTTGCAGACTAATCATGACGGCAGGTGACTTAACTCTTGTTTCACATTTGTATAACAAGGGAAACACACTTTCTACCTACAGAGGGCCATACTAGTATCAAAGTGTTGGAATTTAGTTTCTAATAAAAAAGTAAGATTAGCCAGGCATAGTGGTGGGCACCTGTAATCCCAGCTACTTGGGAGGCTGAGGCAGAGAATCGCTTGAACCTGGGAGGTGGAGGTTGCAGTGAGCTGAGATCACACCACTGCACTGCAGCTTGGACAACAAAGTGAGACTCTGTCTCGGAAAAAAAAAAAAAAAAAGTGGAAAAAAAAATCAAGGGCTGCTCAGAACCCTATTTAGTATTGACAGGAAAAGAAAAAATTTCTCTTCCAACATTATGAGGCACACAAGCCTCACAGGCACAGCGTAAATAACTACAAACTGTATTAACTGAGCAACTGTAATGGATTAATGATTTAAAATCTTTCTTCAAATCAAAGTAAATGTCCCTAGCTTTGTGGAGTAAACTGTTCTAAAGTAATAGTAAAATATTATAACCCCAAAGAGCCCTGTACACACACCTACACACACCATCGGAAATGAGACAAAACTTAAATTTGAAGATGAGAAAAACTTCAGCTGGGCTTTTCATCATTTCTTCAAACCGTAGCTCTCTTCAGCGTGAGAAATAACCATCTGTTTCTTATTTTCAGCTTTGAAATTTGATGACATAAACCAGAAAGCTGTGTTCTGATGGTGCTTTCTGAGTGGGCTTGGAGCCATAAGGACCCTCTCTCCTTTCAATGCACTGCCTGTTCATTTTGGTTTACTTAGGAGACAGAAGGGGAGTTGCAGGGGGGTCCCCAGATCCAGGTTTTAGTACTGATTCTCACATAAATTTATTGCATGTCCTTGAAGGGGCAGGCAAGGGTGTTTTGAGGGCTTACTAAATGCCAGGTGCTTTTTACATGTCTTTTTTTTTTCTTTTTTTCTTTTTTTTTTTTGAGACAAGGTCTTGCTTTGTCACCCAGATTGGAGTGCAGTGATGTGATCTTGGCTCACTACAGCCTCAATCTCCTGGGCTCAAGTGATCTTCCAGCCTCAGCCTCCTGAGTAGCTGGGACTATGGGCACACGCTACCACACCCAGCTAAATTTTTTTTTTTTTTTTTAGAGATGAGGTCTCACTATGTTGCCCAGGCTAGTCTCAAAGTCCTGGGCTCAAGCGATCCTCCTGCCTCAGCCTCCCAAAGTGCTGGGATTATAGGCGTGAGCCACCATGCCCAGCCTTACATATCGTCTTAATGAGCACTTATAACAACCAAAACGTAGTATGCTTATCCTCAATTCCTATGAGTAAACATTTATTGTGTGGTAATATTTTAGTGCATAACAATTGCAGGATCAAATTCATTCTTATTTCATGATCTGTGAGTTTATATATATGTGATGGTGGGGCTAGAAGTTCCTATATCATCACTTCACAAGTTAGGAACCCCAGTACTCCAAGAAAGGAACTAGGAGGCACCATGCCTGGCTAATTTTTGCATTTTTAGTAGAGATGGGGTTTCACCATGTTGGCCAGGCTGGTCTTGAACTCCTGACCTCAGGTGATCTGTCCGCCTCGGCCTCCCAAAGTGCTGGGATTCCAGGCATGAGCCACTGCACCTGACCTTAGCTATGTCTGCCCAGCACCTTCCCTCTTCTGCGTCCTCAGGGGAACCCCGCTTCTACTCTATTTAGTCCTGCTGGGGCTGCCACTGAGAGTGTTGCAGTCCTCTACCTCACAGGATGGATACTTGACCCAAAGAAGACAGTAAGAATCCCCCATCCTCTTGCAAGGAATGGGGCAACTCAAAAGAGTCCATATGAGGAATGAAGCCAAACTCAGACAATTAAGGTGAGAGACTGCAAGAGATCAAAGGGCCAGGGACACAGTAACATTTTCTTTTTAAAGCCAACTGATGTTCTTTTTCAAGTTCAGATACTTTAAGCTGATCACCTACAAGCAAACAAATCCTGACAGTTTTCTCAAGTAAATTATTATTATTATTATTTTTGAGATGGAGTCTTGCTCTGTTGCCCAAACTGGAGTACAATGGCGCGATCTTGGCTCACTGCAACTGCCACCTCCTGGATTCAAGTGATTCTCCTGCCTCAGCTTCTCGGGTAGCTGGGATTACAGCCGCCTGCCACCACGCCTGACTAATTTTTGTATTTTTAGTAGAGATGGGGTTTCACCGTGCTGGCCAGGCTGGTCTCGAACTCCTGACCTCAGGCAAACCGCCCACCTCAGCCTCCTAAAGTGCTGGGATTACAGGTGTGAGCCACTGGCACACATCCCCACCCACCCAATTTACTTTGTTTTCAAGAAACCAATTTACTTTGTTTTCTCAGGTAAATTATTTACTCTCTTCCTTTTTCTCTCTGTAGGCTAGTAAGACTCCAATCAAAGTTGATACATTGTATTTACATCTCCTCTACCCTAAGGTGGAAAAAGGATAAACGGAGTTCATGTGGTCTAAGGTCGGAGTTCACGTGGTCTAAGGTCGGAGTTCATGTGGTCTAAGGTCAGAGTTCATGTGGTCTAAGGTCGGAGTTCATGTGGTCTAAGGTCGCTGTACTGTCTGTCCAAAAGAGCAAGGATATTCACCACTTATAACGGAAATCTATCAACTTTGGTCAAATTGAAATTTCAAGCATAACCATTAAGAAAAAGTGTATAACATCCACATTAGTAGAAAAAAAAGGTGAATGATGAAAAATAGCTCCAAAGAAGGGAAGACAGCTGTAATGAAATGGAGAACTGTCAGGACAAACAGATTGAGAGCATAAAATAAGGCAGACCTAAACAAAAATACATCAGTGGTGCTATTAATGAAAATGGACTAAATGTTCTAATTAAAAGACAGAGAAAGTCAGGGTTTTCCCTGACTTTAAAACTTCCTTATAAGTTTTCCCAGGGTTTAAAAAACCAAAACCCAATTATATGCTATTCATAAGAGACTTACCTAAAACACAGTTACAGAAAAGATGCAACTAATGGAAAAAAAATACCTTGTGTAGATTTTTAAAAAGATTACACTATCAGGTAAAGTATAAGGCAAAAAAAAAAATTATTAGAAACAAAAAAGGCAGCTTCATAATGATAAAAAGTGAATTAAGAATTAAGAATTAAGAAGATAAAACAACTTTATATTTGTATATGCACCTGATAATACGGCCTTACAGATATAAAGCAAAAAAAAAAAAAAAAATTAAAAGATGAAGTAGACAAATTCATAATTATACTTGGATATTTAAACACATCCCTCTATAATTCATAGGAAAAAAAAAAACACCCAGTAAGGATAAAGAAGATTTGAACACCATTAACAAACTTGATCTAATGGCATTTCATTGGACATTGAATCCAATAACTGTAGAATACATTTTACTTTCAAACACACATGGAACATTTATAAAAACTGACCATAAACAGAGCTCTAACAGAAGTATCAAGAAATTTCAAAGGATTAAAATTATACAGCTTCGAGCACAGTGGCTCACACCTGTAGTCCTTCCAGCTACCTGGGGAGACTGAAGCAGGAGGATTGCTTGAGCCAGGAGTTCAAGGCTGCAGTTAGCTATGATCACACCACTGTACTCCAATGTGGGAGACAGTGAGACTGTCTCAAAAACAAACAAACCAACCAACCAAAAACAGAACAAGCTCACTGACCACAGTCATAATTAGTCATAAATAAAGGATAATTAGAAAATGTTAGTATGTTTGGATATTACAAAACACATTTCTCGAATATAATATCTATTGGTTAAAGAAAAAGAATTACAATGGAAATTAGAATATTTTTAGAAATAAACAACAAAGAAGGCTGGGCGCAGTGGCTCATGCCTGTATCCCAGCATTTTGGGAGGCCAAGGCAGGTGGAACACCTGAGGTAAGGAGTTCGAGACCCGCCTGAGCAACATGGTAAAACCCTGTCTCTACTAAAATACAAAAACATTAGCTGGGCATGGTGGCGCATGCATGCAATCCCAGCTACTTGGGAGGCTGAGGAGGCAGGATAATCCCTTGAACCCGGGAGGTGGAGGTTGCAGTGAGCCGAGATTGTGCCATTGCACTCCAGCCTGGGCAACAAGAGTGAAAGTCTGTCTCGGAAAAAAAAAAGAAAAGAAATAAACAACAGAGATACCACATATCAAAACTTGTGAACTCCTGCTGAAACAGAATTTGGAAAAAAATGTATAACCTTAAATAGAGAGAATCAAAAAGATAAAAATTAATGAAACTAAACATCAATTTCAAGAAGTCAGAAAAAGAACAAAATAAATCCAAGGAAAATAGAAGAGAAAAATAAAGAACAGAGCAGAACTTATGAAACAGAAAACAAATTTATTATGAAGACTATCACTGATGATAAGAGCAGGTTCTCTGAAAAGAACCTCTACTAAAACCAAAGAAGAAGGAAAAAAAAGCATTAAAATGAAATCAGAATGAAAGAGGGGATATCTCTATAGATGCTGTACACCAAATGATAAGAAAATATTATAAACGGCCAGGTGCGGTGGCTCACGCCTGTAATCCCAGCACTTTGGGAGGCTGAGGCAGGTGAATCACGAGGTCAAGAGATGGAGACCATCCAGACCAACGTGGTGAAACTCCGTCTCTACTAAAAATACAAAAAATTAGCTGGGCGTGGTGGCACGTGCCTGTAGTCCCAGCTACTCAGGAGGCTGAGGCAGGAGAATCGCTTGAAACCGGAAGGCGGAGGTTGCAGTGAGCTGAGATTGCGCCACTGCAGTCCAGCCTGGCGACAGGGCAAGACTCCGTCTCAAAAAAAAAAAAAAAAATTATAAACAACTTTATATAAGTAAATATGAAGGGATAAACTCCTAGGAAAATATTACTTAGTTAAGAAATTATAAAAACAAAATCACCCTAGAACCATTAAAGACATTGAGTCTGTGGTCAAAAATAAGATTGCAAAGAAAACACACCTGCGAGCCCAGGTGGCTTCATCACCAAGTTCTATCATACATTCAAGGGACAAAGAAGGGGAAACTAAAATGGATGGTGGAAGAGGATGATATGGGTATTTGTTAGATTTCTGGACCAACTGCAGCAGCAAGGGTTGTAATTTGTCTCACTAATCTTCCTCTTATAAGTTTTCCCAGGATTTGTGACTAACCAGAATCCTGGAGAAGCTGTACCTGGATACAGTGAACTTAATATAAGAAGCAAGCCTATCTGTATGGTACAAGAAGTGGACTGTGGAGAATACTACTGGTTCCATCCAGATCATCTTTACTGGTTAGCACACCTGTCACTGAGATGTGGTGTCAGCTGAGAACAACTCACAGATGTCCCTTTCTCCAGAAAACTGCAACTGCCCCCTCACCAGGCTGTGCCTCTCCTCCCCCAATCCAGCTTTCCTCATACTCCTCTTCCTGAGGGCTTCTCCCACAGTCTCACTTGAACAAGAATCTCTATTTTATGCCCTGCTTCTACAGAATGGGATCGAAGATATCACCATTTAAGAGGGTGAAAAGAGAGCCATATATATATATATATATATATATATATATATATTTCCTTATTGAAAAATCAATTTAAAAAATTTAAAAATGGCAAGAGACATGAATAGACAGTTCACAAAAGAGGCAATCCAATTAACCAACAAAAAACTGCTCAAGGGCTGGGCATGGTAGCTCACACCTGTAATCCCAGCACTTGGGGAGGCTGACATGGGAGAATAGTTTGAGTCCAGGAGTTTGAGACCAGCCTGGAAAATATGGCAAGACCTGGTCTCTACAAAAAAAAATAAAATAATTATCTGGCTGTCCCAGCTGCTCAGGGGGCTGAGGTGGGAGAGATCTCTTGAGCCTAGGAGGTTGAGGCTACAGTAAGCCATGATCACGCCACTGCAATCCAGCCTGGGTGACAAAGCAAGACCCTGTTTCCAAAAAAAAGAAAAAAGAAAAAAGTGCTCAACCTCAAGAGTAACCAAGGAGAGCAAGTTAAAACCACAAGAAATATCAAGACACACACATGAAAATAGTTAAAATATTAAAACCAATAAAAGCAACTATTTGCCAGGATATGAAGCAACTGGAACTCTCATATACTCCTGGTAGGAAAGTAAACTGTTCGACACTATCTAGTAAAGCAATTGTACTCTAACATATATAACCTAAAGAAACTTGTTCAAATACATCAGAAAATATCTAAGGATGTACTTGGCAGTCAGAAACTATAAGCAACTCAAGTATCCATCAACCACAGGATGAATACATCTATTGTGACACAGCCATACCATGAAACACTGTTGGCAACGAAAATAAGTGAGGCCGCCACGTGGATGCATCTCACAAACAAGTTGAGCAAAAGAAGCAAAACACAAAATGCAAAAGTATGATTCTATATGTATGAAATTAAAAAACTTAAAACTATATTGTTTAGGGATATATACATAGGTGATATAATTACAAAGAAAAGCAAAAAAATGATTATCACAAGATGATTTCTTCTAGGGGAGGAAATTATGATTTGGAAGCAGGTACTGAGTATTGGCAATGTTCCAGTTCTTGACATGTTGGTGATTACGTGTGTATTTCCTTTAGAGTTATTTGCTAAACTATATATTGTGTTTTTTACCATGCATATTTGCTGTATTTCATATTCAAAAAGTTTAAAACAAATAAATGAAATAAATATACTGATTATTGTTTCTTAGAAAAATTGAGAAAACTAAAATCCTTTATTTTTAAATTAAAACCTTGCCTGCAAAATCCCTAACAGGGTACATGCCAAGTAAATTTTCCAGAATGCCTAAATCTGTGTGGCTCAGGGTGACCTGACGACCCCTCTTTACATATGGAAAAGTAAGGTGAGTAGGCACCCAAAGTCCTGGGGTAGCTATCTTGTTGAAGGCTGTCATTCCTGAGAATCATCGGTAGGCAGAACCCTGGAGAGTATGTGGAACCAATTTGCCAAAGGGATTTGGGTTAAGGTTAAGAAGAGAAGGGACTGAGCCCACAAACTCTGATAAGAAGTTTGAAAACAGAGACATCTCTTGGGTGGTCTAGATGACCATGACCAAGGTTGCTAGCAGGAAGGGCCCCAAATGCCCTAAAAGAGAACTCTCCAGGACACCAGGGGAACCCAGCCTGGTGAAAAGCTCAACAAAAGCCCAGAGTGAGGTGCTTTGGGGAGAATGGCTGAGCACGCAAGCATAAATGAAACAAGCTCTAACCTTGGAAAACCAAGCATGGAATCATGCTGGCAGAGATTTGGTCCAATAAGGGCATTGAGCAGCAGTGATCACACATCCGTGGACTGTGTAGGACAGCTCTTCAACAGTTATGCCATATAGCTGTGTCAGGAATGACAATGTGTGTGGACTGCTCAGACAATGCAGTTCTCTCTCCTCTGGAGAGTGACAGTAAGACTGACCCCATTGGAATGTATAAGCCCCCAGAGAGGCTGGAGAAGGAGACACTGGAATTCTCACTAATAAGGACATTAGAGAGGACTTGGGAGTCTACTTAGAAAAAAATAAGGAAAGACAAGAGTGAATGTAAACCCAACTTGTGAAATGAGACACACATGTTAAACATCTAAACTGAAATAGACAAAATCTTAATCAAATGTCTCTTTGTGTACATTCCTTTATGTATACAGTATCAAACATTTTAGACGAGTGGGAAACTAATAATCACTAAACTAAAAGAGGGTAATGAGAGAAATTAGCAGACATTTCAAACAAAACCCATGACAGGTAACTCAAGAATAGGTTCATTCATTAAGGCAAACTGAAAGAACAAAACACTTGTTCCATCTATTTCCTGACTGAAGCAGGTACAAGGAATTTGTTTACTTCACATCTTCCTGTGAAAAGCAAGTGATGTCTTCTTGGTTGCCCAGGACACCATCCCTCCCATCTCTGAGAGCTCTTGCTGACTCCCTATCTACATCATCAGAGCCCCCACTAATCTGCCCTCAGTTTTATCCCTGCCAAAGAATCTGAGGTCCCTAAGGCCAGAGTCTACGTATGTTTTTATCTATTTCTACTCACTCCCACTCCTCTTGGCACTGCCACCAATGCACGTTTATTGAAGGAAAAAAGGAGGGAGGGAAGGAAGGGATAGTGTAACTGCACTGCAACTGAAAGAAACCAGAGAACGGAAACTCATGGTGACCTGGTGACTGCTTGAGCATTTATTGCTTAACAGCTACTTGTGCGATCATAAAAATACAATTCCCCTGATAACCACGGCAACCAAAATGATGGCACTATGGTGAAGGCGGCTCTTCTCAGAAATCTAAAAACAATAATAGGCTTGAAACCAGAAAGACAAAGAAATCCAAGTGCTCCAGGGCAGAAGGAAATCCTTTCTTAAAAGCCCTGATAAAGCAGCTTTTTCTCCAGTCTCTCAAATCTCACCAGGCTCCAGCAAGGGCTCTGGAACTGGTGTGAGGGATCAGGAAACAATTCAGGCCTCTCTGTGTGCTCCTATCCCTGGAGGCCAGCTGTTATGAGGTAAGCTCACTGGGAGCTGCAGCTTATTGTTATTTTAAAATGTACTGAGAACGGGCAGGGAGATGGATATATATATAAAACATTATATAACCTCAAACTAACATAGCTAGCTCTGGAAAAAGCCCCTTGAGGACAGGGACCATGTGTGTCTTGTTCACAGCTCTATGTCCAGATCCTAGTAGGTGTACAAGACAGAGTAGGGGTTCCATATAGCTGCTGAATAAATGCGGAATGAGATTAGAACTGAGGGAAAGCACAGTGCCTGGTAAAAGGTCCATCCTCTCCACTACCCACTGCCAGCACTCTGTTGGGTCCTGAGCAAAATCAAAGTCCTGTCGTCCTTCTGGGTCCAGTCTCTCCATTTGCAAAGGAGACAGCTGGATTAGATGGTTTCCCAGGCATCCTCCAGCTCTGACAGTCAATCACCGTACTGTGTTTTTTTTTTCGGTGGCTACACATGCCTGGCACTTTTCTCTCCCCTCAGAGGGAATCTGATACCAATCTGCTCAAGTAAATTGATGTTCCCATCCAGCCTGACTCATATGGTAGGAACAACAGGTTCATATGCCAATTGTAAAAGAGAAGGCAAAGGGGGCCCAGAATGAGAAAAAGAAAAGGTCTTACAAACCAAAACGGCAGTTTTCAGGACTAAAAATATAGAAACAAATGTGATTATTCTGCTGAAAAAGCCCTTCACGTGGGGCAATCTCTAGCTTACTAATAATGCTTATATTAACAGCATTATCTACTGAGGCTTTTGTGCCAGACACTGTGTGCTAAACCCTTTACAATTAATCCTCCCAGCAACCCATGAGCTTATTACCTCCTTTTCACAGATGAGGAATCAATCTGGCTGAAGGTCACAAAGCCAGTAAGTGGCAGAACTGTGATCTGAACCAGAGCTAACTGACTCCAGAGTTCTGGCTCCTCAAATGACTTTCCCCTCTGTTCTTCACTGTAGTCCTAAGAGCGAGGCAGGACAGGGGTTATCACTTTTTGTTTAAAGATGAAAAAACCGTCTGAGAGGCTTGAGATTTGCATAAAATACACAGTGGGTGCCCAGCCCCATATTTGCCCCTTGAGATTTGCATAAAATACACAGTGGGTGCCCAGCCCCATATTTGCCCCTGCGTTCCTAGGTGAAGGCTCTTCCCATCCCAAGAGTCAGCTTCTTCTTCTTCGACTTTACTTACACACTCGAAAAATCTCAGGGCTGGAGGCACCGCGGAGATACATGCTCCGCGTCCGGTAGTTTTACGGGAGGGTAAACCAAGGCATAGCTCTCCGTCGGCGCGCCTGAGCCTCCGGATGCCGGGGGACCGCGGAGCCGCGGGCGGCCTGAGGGTACGCCTCATGGTCCTGCCAGACCCCTGATGCCCGAAGCCCGACCAGACGCTCAGCCTCGGCCAGGACTGAGCGGCGCCTCCTGGGTCGGTCGCCTGGGGAAGCGCCCCGGGTCCCCTCCCCCGGCCGCCCAAGTTCGCCCGCAGCCTCTGCGCACCGGCCGCTTACCTCACAGGGCGCTCGCCCACCGCGGAGTCCGGGCCGCGGCCGCCGGTGCCCTGGAAGCCACCCGCCGCCCCCGCTGGAGCCGCAGCAGCCGGTAGGATTGCGGCGTGCGGCCAGCCCCGCCCGGGGGCGGACAGCTGCCTGGGGATCGTGCGGAGCCGCCGCCGTCATGTGACGCGCAAGGCGGCGAAGGATGCCGGGAGCAGCTGGCTGGCCGGGGCTGGGCTTCCCGACCACCGCGCATAAAAGCTGTATCTGCAGGAGGGGCACCGGGAGGCGGGAGGAAGGCAGACGAGGAGGGGGCGCGTGGGGCTTCGGGTACTGCAAAGGCGAGCTTGCGGAAGGACGATTCAGGCTCGTGTTGCGTGGCCCCAGAAGGGGCAGAAATAGAACCAGTGGGTGGAAACTGCAGGGAGGCATGCTAAGGCCAATACAGTGTAAATAAGATTCCTGCGAGCACCAGTTATCTAACAGTATAAGGAGCAGTTTCCTGGGGTGCTAGGCACCCTGTAGATGAGCATGTAGGGTCTGGGTTCATTCACTGAACAAACTGACCATTGGCTACCTGCCAGACAATGTACTAGGAGTACATATTAAATTAGTTGTATGTATGGCGCTTAGCATAATGCCTGCCACAAAGTAAATGCTGTATGTTTGTTGCTGCTGGTGCCGTTACTATTATGGGCACAAAAGTGAACAAAGCAGATATGGTTCCTCTTCTCCTGAAGTTAATTCTGTAGTGGAGAAGGTAGACGGTAATCAAGTGTCATTTAAACCAATATGTGTTTAAAATTGTAGAAAATGCACGGAAGGAGCTGTAATTTAAAAATAGGGGCCAGGTGTTCATGCCTGTAATCCCAGCGCTTTTGCAGGCCGAGGCTGGAGGAAAGATCACTTGAGCTCAGGAGTTCGAGGTTAACAGTGAGCCATGATTGTGCCACTGCACTCCAGCCTGGGTGACAGGGCGAGACTCTTGTTTCAAAAATAAAACTAAATAAATTAGGGACCAAGGAAGGGTAGTCAAGGAAGACCTCTCAGAGTAAGATAAAGAGTTAGCCAAATGGAAGAGGGGCAGGGTAAGCCCTGTGAAAACTCTTGGACCAGGTGGGTTGGGTTGGAGGAGAAAAGATCGCTCTTTGTGGAAATGGAAAACGTCTAGCTTGTCTGAAGCTTTTTAACGGGAAGAACAATATAAGTGAGGTCAGAAAGGTAGGTAGGGGCCAGATCACGCAGCACTTAATAGGCCATGATAAGGATTTTAAAATTGTACGTAACAGGAAGCCATCGAAGGGGTGGAGGATTTGATACCTTTTAAAGCAGTATGTCAGCTACTATGTGAAGACAGGAGTTAAGGGTGGAAGCAGAGATTGGTAGCTTAACCTATTAACTGGGCCCGTGGAGGTGCTATTTATTGAAATGGGAACTATTGTAAGGGGAATATATTTGGAAGCGGGGGGAGATCAAGAACTCCCATTTGAACTTGTTAAATTTGACACTGCCAGTTAGAATGACTATTAACAAAAAGACAAAAAAATAACAAATGCTGGTGAGGACATGGAGAAAAGGGAACTCTCATACACTGAATTATACAGCCAGTATAGAAAAATGCATGGAGGTTTCTCAAAAAAGTAAAACTAGAACTGCCATATGATCCAGCAGTCCCACTGCTGGATATTTATCCAGGAATGGAAATCAGTATGTCAAAGGTATGCCTGGATCCCCATGTTTATTGCAGCACTATTCGCAATAGCCAAGATATGGAAGCAACCTAAGTCTTCATCAACAGATGAATGGATAAAAAGAATGTGGCATATATACACAACAGAATACTATTCAGCCTGTCATTTGCAGCAACACAGATGGAACTGGAGGTCATTATGTAAAGTGAAATAAGCCACGCATAGAAAGACAAATATCACATGTTCTCACTCATACGTGGGAGCTAAAAAGTTGATCTCATGCAGTTGGCAAGTAGAATGACAGTTACCAGAGGCTGGGAGGGGAAGGGGATAGAGAGAGGTTGGTTAATGGGTACAAACATGGATAGAAGGAATAAATTTTAGTGTTCAATAGCACAGTAGGGTGACTGTAGTTAACAATAATTTATTGTATATTTCAAAATAGCTAGATTTAAATGCTCCCAATACAAATAAATGATAAATTTTTGAGATGGATATTCTAAATACCCTGATTTGATCATTACGTATTGTATGCATGAGTCAAATATCACATGTACCCCATAAATATGTACAATTATCTATCAATTAAAAATAATTAATTTTGAGATGCCTGTGTGTCATCCAAGTGGAGTGATTAAAAAAGCAATTCACGGCTGGGCGTGGTGGCTCACGCCTGTAATCCCAGCACTCTGGGAGGTCGAACGGACGAATCACGAGGTCAGGAGTTTGAGACCAGACTGACCAACATGGTGAAACGCCGTCTCTATTAAAAACACAAAAATTGGCTGGGTGTGGTGGCGCGTGCCTGTAATTCCAGCTATCAGGAGGCTGAGGCAGGAGAATCGCTTGAACCTGGGAGGTGGTGGTTGCAGTGAGCAGAGATCGTGCGCCACTGCACTCCAGCCTGAGTGGCAGAGTGAGACTGTGTCTCAAAAAAAAAAAAAAAAAAGCAGTTCACTTGTAATCCCAGCTACTCAGGAGGCTGAGGCAGGAGGATCGCTTGAACCCAGGAGTTTGAGACCAACCTGGGCAACGAAGCAAGACCCTGTCTCTAAAAAAGAAAAGGAGTTGGATACAGACCTCCGGAATTTACGAGAGAATATCAGCTATAGAAACATAATTTACCAAGAATACTATGAAAAAGAAATTATTACACGAAATTGTGGCCTGAAATAATTGACCCCGTGGTCCTACTGACCTTTTTCAGTCCCTGGTTCTATAGAATATATTCCATAAAAATGTATTCCATCTATTATTACCATATGGTGAATGTGGTATGATTCTGGGTGAGGTCTAAGTTACCATGTAGCTGGTCTCTTTTATAAATAAGAAAACCAAACACTAAAACCTAAAGCCAACAATTTATTTTAAGACACAAAGTTGTACAGTAGCTAGGTATAGTAGAAAGACCACAGGGGTAGTCTCACACTGCAATGAGCCTGATGATTTACCTTGCTGACTGACAAAGCTATGCCATATTTAATCCTTTGAAAAGTATCTTACTCCATGAAACTGGCAGTCCAGATATGACTGTCAATAAACAATCAAAAGCTTGAGTTTCTGGATTTGTGCCAGCTAACATTATCATTTTGGTATTTGTATAAAACAGCTGACTTTCAAAGTGCTACAGCAGTGTCCTACAAGAGCAAGCTGTCTTCCCTATTAGTGGGGCAAGCATCACGTGCCACATGGGAATTTTTGTTTGTTTTGAGATGGGGTTTTGCTCTTGTCGCCCAGACTGGAGTGCAATGGCATGATCTTGGCTCACCGCAACCCCCACCTCCCAGGTTCAAGCGATTGTCCTGCTTCAGCCTCCCCCGTAGCTGGTATTAACAGGTACCAGCCACTAGGCCCAGCTAATTTTTGTATTTTAGTAGAGACGGGGTTTCACCATGTTGGCCAGGCTGGTCTCAAACTCCCGACCTCAGGTGATTCGCCCGCCTCAGCCTCCCAAAGCTCTGGGATTACAGGCATGAGCCACCACACCTGGCCAGGGGTTTTTTTTTTTTTTTTTTTTTTTTGAAACAGAGTCTCGCTCTGTTGCCCAGGCTGGAGTGCAGTGGCTCAGTCTCAGCTCACTGCAACCTCCACCTCCTGGGTTCAAGCGATTCTTCTGTCTCAGCCTCCCAAGTAGCTGGGACTACAGGCTTTCGCATTTTCAGTAGAGACAGGGTTTCACCATATTGATTAGTCTGGTCTCAAACTCCTGACCTCAGGTAATCCACCTGCCTCGGCCTCCCAAAGTGGTGGGATTACAGGTGTAAGCCAATGCGCCCAGCCAAAAATATAACTACTTAAATATAAGAACATCATTCACAAACTACAGTTGAGCCCTCTCTTCTTTCTGCCCTCATCTCACCTCTGCATGCCTCTATCCTACCATTAGACTCGAGAGGAAACTTACTCATCTTTATACACTGGCACCTGGCTGGTGTTTACTGGCAAATGTATAAGTGAACACACAAAATCTCCTCAGCCATGGGAGCTTTATTTACTTTGCTTTCCAGAAAAAGTAGGCTCACACAGAGTGGTGTCCCAGGTCAACATAGTGGACATGCCATGCTTTTTGGCTGCCCAGCATCTGAGGTCCCTTCCTACATTTGGGAATTCCTTGTTTATGAGTTTGCTGGGAAGCAGAACATGCCTTTCACTATAGAAGTGGAAATTCCAGGTATTTTCTCTGCTTCTCCTTGTGATTCTATCATGCTACAAATTACTCTTGATTTTGAATTAAGTACCAGAGACACAATAAAGTCTCTGGAATAATTTTCTCTGGGACCATGGCAAGTGCGGCAAGTTCTTAGAGCAACACTGGCTGCCATGATCCAGGGTTCTGTGCATGTGGCTTTGGCAAAGTAAGTGGTGGCACCTAATGTTCAGCAGAAATGGCGTCCTCACTGCCCCAGCTCTGTGGAGTATGACCAAGGAACAAAGGGTGATGTTCCAGTTGCCTACTCTCCAAGCCTAATTCTCTAGGCCTCCTGGTGATACTGAACTCCCTGTTATCCTTTTAATAAAATACTTTTCTTTTTCTGTCAAAATTGGATTTTGGTGTTTGCAACTAAAAAATCTGACTCACATAGTCACATGATAAATAGCAGAGCTGAAACTATAATCTAGGACATTGAAATCCTAATTCTAGTATTCTTTCCATGTAGACAGATCTCTACTTTCCAACAACCCACAATTTTTACATTACATATCGCTGTCCCTAAATCATTTTGTTCACCGAATTTATACTTGAATATGTAAGCTGATTAGTGAACATTTCAAGTGACTGTATTTCAAATGCAGTATTATCTTTGTACATCTGTTTATGTAATAGTTTCTTTCTTTTTTGCATTTTTGGCCTCTATATACTTAAGTGGAAATGAAAATACCCCGCACTTGAACAAACGTGGGAGTTAGGGGCCCCGACACCTGCACAGTCACAAATCTGCATGTAACTTTGACTCCCCAAAAACTTAACTACTAATAGCCTACTGTTGCACAGAAACCTTACCGATAACATAAAAAATAGATTAATATGTATTTTGTATCATTATCTATTATATACTGTATTCTTACAACACAGTAAGCTAGAGAAAATGTTAAGAAAATCACAGAGAGAAAAAGCATTGACAGTACTATACCGTATTTATTTAGATTCTAAGTTTAGGTTGTCTGTTTACAAGATTAGTCGTGTCTGAAATCAGAGCAACTACAGCTGCAGACCTCAATCTATAGTACATATCAAGAATTCAACTTTTTCCTTTAATGTCATGACTTTTCTCTGCTTCCTGGGAGCACTTCCAGCATCACTAGTGGCACTCTGTATAGATCCCATGGAGTTATTCAAAGTTTTGTGGTATGGTATTAAACACAAAAAATACATGAGACAGAGAGGGATCGCTTTTACTTTGATTTGCAATTTACTGGAGCGAGGAACTGCTCATGCAGAGATGAGTGTCACATGGCATTTTAAGTGGATACCTATAACACTTGAGCTCCCTGCAGTGGCAACAAGAGGTGGCTATGGACTTACTGTATTACACTATTACAAAAGATAATTTTATGCAGTTATGATTTAATACTGCATCTTTCTCTTGACCTCAAATTGTGCTATGTATGGTCTGTGTACATAAGTTTTGATAAATCTTAATTTTTTATAATAGATGTGTGCATTTTATGAGTAAGACTACAATCTACATATATTTTATGCATTCATGACATCCTTTATCTTAAATTTTTTCAATATTTCTAGACTACATATGTGTGCTTTTTTCAAATTGTTGCAAATCTCCGATTTTTCAACGCATTTTTTGAAAAAAATCTGCACGTAAGTGGACCTGTGCACTTCAAATCTGTGTTGTTCAAGGGTCAACTCTACTATTACTAATGTGACTGAGAAAAAGATGAAAAACTATTAGACACGCTTAAAGTAGATCTTTTTAGCCTTATAATGACTGTTGGACTAAAACCAGCTGTGTTTTATTTCTGAATGAAAGAAACAATTTAAGAACATATTTCATAACTCTGAAAATATTTCGTATGTTTAAAAGACAAAGTGCATAAATGATTTTGTAATGTTTTACATCTCAGTAACAAGTATATTCAACTTTTACATATGTGATTTCTATGTTTTGTGTACTTATGCTAAAGTAGGCAACTGACACCACATAGGCATATCTGTAATACTGAGCATACACAAGTAGCATGTAAGTAGCAACTGTTCACTGTCTCCTGGGTGATGTCCATAACACAGAGTAAGGAAAAGGTCTTGTGTTTTATCTCAAATTTATTATGACAAATTTCAAAAAATACGTTATTAAAGGTTGTTCTTGTGTAGTGGAATTTGGAACTGCAGTATACACAATAGCCAGCAGATGTCAGAATGGAATCTCTTAAGACTCAAGTATGAAAACACAATAAATAACAGGAGTTTCTGGAAGGACTGAGGCTTTCTTGCTCTTCTGTGCACAACACACTTCAGTCACACTGGTCTTTCTTCCTCAAATACATCTGCTTTAACACTTTTTCAAAGATGCCCCGCTCTATCTGGCCAATTCCTATTCACCCAAACCTTACTTTATGTGTCTCTTCCTAAGGGAGTCCTCCCTACTGCCTCCCAGGCTCAAAATCGAACCCATTATTTTCCCCTTGAAACTTGTTCCTTACTTCAGCGAATGGCACCGTCAACCCTGCACTTAAACCAGAAATCAGGGAGTCTTCTTTGATGCCTTTCTTTCCTCACTACACGTATCTAAATAAATGCTGAGCTGCTCATATACCCCTCTGACCTCTCCTTCAAATACAGTACCCATATTGCATCCAATATTGTTTTAAGTGGACAATTCTGAACTCCCCACCTTGATCAACATGATCTTTGCCTGACCCTCCCTTTACCTAGTCACCCTAGATAACCTGGACCTATCCCTTCAGGTTCCTTTAAATGTCATGTTTTCAGGTAAGTTCTCTCTGAGCCTCCAGCAAGGTTTTCAGGTCTTTGAGATATTTACTCACATGGCATCTTATGGCAGATTATAGACCTCAAAAAGGCAGTCCCCCTGCCCGTCCATATCCTCAACTCCTAGCACAGTGCCTGGCACATAGCAGGAACTCAGTAACGCTGATGAATGAATTTGTAATCTCAGGGCTTTGATCTATGATAAAATGAACATCTTTAAAGTAATAAAAGTGATTTGGTGACCATTTCACACTTAGCCAAATTTTACTCTTTACTTTAGAAGGTGTCCTGTAGGACAAATCCGGCCAGCCATCTTTTCTGTAAATAAAGTTTTATTGGGACACAGCCACACCCACTCATTTGCATATTGTCCCTGGCTGCTTTCATACTACCAACTGCAGTTGGCAGCTGAGAGATCGTAAGAGCCCACAAAGCCTAAAATATTTACCATTTGCCCCTAACAGAAAGCTTGCCAACCCCTGCTTTAGTGGCTTGACGACTGAGCTACATGCAGAATTTATGACATGATCAAGCTATAAAAGCAAAATAGAGTAAAAAGAATGGTGCCTGGATCTTGTAAGAGACAAGCTTAGCTCAAGCAAAGAGGGGGAAGAGAACAAGAAGTCCTGATTCCTGTACTTGTTCTTCATTCCAAATGTAGGCCCAAATTTTCCAGCCTGTGAACTGCTGAACATGTTAACTGTAATGCTAACTTACTCCACAGAAGAACTATAAAGAGCAATGATAAAGCAGTTTTTTTTTTTAATGTTGCACTGACAGCAGGAAGTACACTACCTTAACTTAGGAGCAGCATTCCTACTAAGCTGGTAACCTGTTTGTGGAGAATAAACATTTTTCACTATCCCCATTTCTTTCAACGTACCCCTTTCAAGAGTTTACCAAACTCAAATTTGCTATGGTTCTTTCTTATTTCATGTTACATATTCAAACAAACAAACTGTATATATCTCCCCAACTGTTTCTTAATGTACTATTTTAGAACTGCTTATTCCAAGTATTGAGCCCCTCTGTGGCGTTTATGGCCTGAAAGTTAAAAAGCTGGTCACAAAAACTGAACCATCACATTTTCTCTTACTCCAGCCTGAACATACACTAGAATCCAGGGTAACAATTACACTATTTTCCTCCAAGAAAAGCATGTAAGGATGGGGTACAAGGAATAAATAAACATTAAAAGTCCCCTGGATAAGCACAGACTGACTAGAAATAATTTTTTTAAATGAAAAAAAAAAAAAAAGTCCCCTAGGCCTTGGCCAGCTGCTACTCATTGGCCACTGAAACTTGCAGTCTCAACCTCTCCACCTGTAAAATGGCATTATTATTGATTGGTTAAGGCTATTTTTAGATAATGAACTTAAGTGTTTGGTAAGTTTGAAGTTTGTACACAATTAGAGGATGAGTATGCTATCTCAGAGCATCTGGAAATAGGAATGAGATCTGTCTATGCTGTGAATGCCAGCACAAATCACTTCTAAATGCCTTATACCAAAGACTAGCCATTAATAACATTTACCAAATGTCAAGCAATTGTGCCAGCTGCTCTACTTGCATTTTTTCACTTAATCCTTACGACACTTTGAAGTAGAGAGATGTTTCTATTATCCTAATTTTATAGTTAAAGAAAATGAGATTCGGAGCTCACTTGCTGAAAATCACCCATCTCGTAAGTATTGGAGCCAACATTCAAAATCAAGTCTGCCTGTCTTTAGAGCCAGTATTCATATGACCACAGTGCCATACACTACACCTTCTTAATTTAAGAAATAAATACAAAACCACAGAATTAAAATACATGCTTTCCAGGTTAAGATGGTAGATGAAGCACGTATACCTACCTCCACTCCCTCCCAAAAATCCCATTAAATGACGGTAAAGGTTTTTGTTTTAAGATATAAACCTAAAAGGATGGAAGAAAAGAGGAAACAGGAATAAAACGTTAGAAGCTGGAAAATAGGTAGATCAACAGTAAATAATGTAGTAGACTCTGAAAAACTGAATTCTGAGCCAGCGGTAGAAAAAGAAAAAAACCCACAAGAACCCCCAAACAACAACAAAAACTCACAACCTAATTTATATCATGGAATCCCTAAAAGGCTCAGAAACTAGTGGCTTCAGGTGCCTCTAGCAATAAGGGGTAGAAGGGTAGACATTAAAATAAGAATTGGTGCAAGGTTTAAGTAATCAGATGCTCTCTGCAACTCTATGCAGCAAAACAGCCTCCATTACACAGTACCCTCTCAAAATGATAGTTTTTTTTTTTAGGCCAGGTGCAGTGGCTCACACCTGTAATCTCAGCACTTTGGGAAGCTGAGATGGGCGGATCACCTGAGGCCAGCAGTTCGAGACCAGCCTGGCCAACATGATGAAACATCATCTCTACTAAAACTACAAAAATTAGACAGGC